>NC_000012.12:42763158-42914673 GCF_000001405.40 Homo sapiens
TTGAGTTTCATTTTGAATCACTTGAAAAATAAAATTAGCCCTGTGGTTTGCTCTTACCATCAAACTTACTGTTCCAGTTACCTTTTTTTGCTGTGTAACAGAACACTTCAAAACCTAGTTGTGGTCGGGCACAGTGGCTCACACCTGTAATCCCAGCACTTTGGGAGGCTGAGGCAGGCGGATCACCTGAGGTCAGGAGTTCGAGACCAGCCTGACCAACATGGAGAAAACCCCATCTCTATTAAAAATACAAAATTAGCTGGGCATGGTGGGGCATGCCTGTAATACCAGCTACTCGGGAAGCTGAGGCAGGAGAATCGCTTGAACCCAGGAGGTGCAGGTTGCGGTGAGCCGAGATCATGTCATTGCACTCTAGCCTGGGCAACAAGAGCGAAATTCCATCTCAAAAACAAAACAAAACAAAACCTAGTTGCTTAAAACAACAATAATCATTTATTTTGCTCATGAATCTGTAATTCGGGCAGAGCTCAGAAAGGAAAGCTTGTCTCTGCTCCATGCAGTGTCAGCTAGGGTAGATTAACTAAAGGCTGGAGGGTCTGCTTCAAGGTGACACACGTGTCTGGCAAATGTGTACTGGAGATTGGCTGGAAGCTTGGATGGGATTGAGGGATGTGGGCTTGGCTCCCTCCCGACGTGGCCTTCTGTATGTAGCTTGGGCTTCTTCACAAAATGGTGGCTGGGTTGTAAGAACAAGTGTCCTGGCAGAGAGCCAGGTGGAAGCTGTGTTGCCTATTAAAAACTACTTTGGAAGTCACATAGCATCATTTGCCCTGTACTCTGTTATTCCAAGTAGTCACAAAGGCCCTCCCTAGGTTCAAACGGGAAGAACATCCATTCCACTTTTTGACAGGGAGTGGCAAGGTTCTAGAAGAATGTGTGGGATGAGAAAGATGACTGTGGATGTTTGCAACATATGTTCTGCTGGGGAGTGAGAGAATCACAGCTCAATTCATTTAAGAACCCATCTTAAATGATCTAGAGAAATTTGTTACCTTAAAGTGATGTTTTGAAGTTAGTGCATTCATTTTCTACTAGTCTAAGCCCAAAACCTGTTATCCAGGTAATAACCAGAATACAGTCTATAGGGCAAGAAGTCCTGAAGGGATACCTGGAGAAATTTAGAGAGAAACAAAGACTTCTTACTGGATAAGACTAGGCGAGAATTCATGGCCATCCATTTATCCAATGAACATTTGTCGAAGGCCTTCTATGTGTCAAGAACCATTCAAATCACTAAGGAGATAAAAATGAATCATTTACTTTTGCTCTCAAGGAAACTGAAGGTGGTGGTGAGGATGAGGGTTGGAGGTGAATAGAGAGGCATCTGTATGTTTACGAACTGTTACTATAGACCAGTGATAGGGGAACAGTGCTTGTGGAGTGCTGAAGTTGATGGTGTCTCATTCTACTTGGGACAGTTGTGAAAAGTGGAGAAAATTTGACCTGAATCTTCTCTTATGAAAAATCAAGAGTCAAGTTCCTAGCAGAGGTGGGGCTGCCAACCCGGCTTTACTGACTCAGAAATCTAGTGCTCTTTCCATAAAACAATTCAACTTTTTTAGATTAAATTGTGTTGTACACATTACGAATAGATTGCGAGTTCAGCTGTTAAAATTCCTTGTGAATTTTTTTTGTTCTTTAAATACTGGAGAGATGTAGGCAAAGGTTTTGATTAGATATATTAACAAGGGACTGGGAGAGCATGCAAACAGACCATCTTCAGATTATGCAGAAGTCTTATTGGATCTGAGAACTTCAGTTTCCTTAACTAAACTTTTACAAGAGCTGCTAACAAGGTATCACAGAGATTTGTTTTCATTTTGTTGCTTTCCTTTTGCTTAGCAATTATCTGAGGGAAATTGTAATATAATGGCCAAAAAGGTAAACATAAAAAATTAAGGACATGAATTATCTAGTAGTCCAGAAATTAGGAATTAAAGACATGTGCTTTTCTTAGGATCTCAAAAATTCGTGATCCTAAAACAGTTGACCCTGAATATTTAACACAGAATTTGTTTCCTCCTCCATCTCTTATAAACTTTGATTTGGTCCAGAGTTCTTGGAGCCTGACGAAGATGAAGAGCAATGATTACTTAACTCCACTTTGTCAAAAATCTCAAATTTTTCTGATATTTCTGGTAACTGTAAAGGTGGCAAAACATTCTTAAAATGAGAAACTTTTAAGTTAAACTCATTTTAATTTAAAAAGGGGCATGCCGCCTGTAATCCCAGCACTTTGGGAGGCCGAGGCGGGCGGATCAGTGAGGTCAGGAGATCGAGACCATCCTGGCTAACACAGTAAAACCCCGTCTCTACTAAAAAAAAAATACAAAAAATTAGCTGGGCGTGGGCGTGGTGATGGGCGCCTGTAGTCCCAGCTACTCGGGAGGCTGAGGAGGGAGAATGGCGTGAACCCGGGAGGTGGAGCTTGCAGTGAGTCAAGATCGCGCCACTGCACTCCAGCCTGGGCAACAGAGTGAGACTCTGTCTCAAAAAAAAAAAAAAAAAAAAGCGGTGGGGGGGCGGGGCGCATGCCACTCATGAAGTGAATTTAAGAGAAAAAGAAAGATGCTGCTAAATGGAACAAATGGTCAGTGTGCTTTTGCCATCCCTGGCATATGGGTTGGGATGATGAAAAGCTTTAACGAATTGTGGACTACTAGTGAAGTTTCTTGCCTCTGGAAACTTTATCAAAATCTATTTCCCAAACCTTGTCTTAAAGCTGTCATCTGATGAATCATGTTCTGATGTGACATGTGTTGTACTGAGAGCCAAGGTGAATTTGTCCTCATTTTATGTGTCTTCCTAAGCCTGGGACAGCTCATGGAGAGCAGTGCACCACCCGTCTCAATGATCTTCATGCTATAACAAATGTAAGTTTGTAATCAGATAGCTACTGCTGGCCAGGTATGACAAAATGCTAATTCTAATTATAAATTATATTTTCAAATGCGTTTCACAGTTTATAACTGAGTGAGAAATGCTTAATTCTCGCCATGTGAACTTCCAGATTGCTATGTTGAGTGGTGCAGATGTAGCTTTCTTAAGAACCTTTGAAGCCAAAATTCAGCTTTTACGTCAAAACATCTTACTCTTGTAGTAAACATACATGAGAAGCAGGGGTCTGTCTTAGCATCCTGAAAATGCTTTCTGTCTCTATTGAACACACATTTTGAGTGACATAGCATACTTAACCATTTGGATCTAAAAGTCTGCAGAGGAATTTGTGGATAAAAAGGGATAGGCCTATCTGGCAGCTATTCATTCGTAAAAGTTATTGGATTCTGAATTAGATGCAGGCAGTATTTATTTTGTGGTCTAGTGAATTTGAATTCTACACTAGATATCATGTAGATTCTTATGGTAGGATGATATCCTTGAAAAATCCCAGAACCCTAAACAAATAAATTAATCAATTGATTGATTTAATGACTTCTTATTGCTTTTAGGATGAAGCCTAAAGTTTTTGACTAGAATACTACAGTCTCAGGGTCTCTCCAGGCTCATCTGACCTTATTCTTCTCTTTCTGTGAACCAGCCACATGAAACCAGACCTAGTTTCTTGAATGTTCTGTCCTGCCCCAAGGTCTTTGTACTGGCTGTTTCCCCCGCCCAGGAACTTCTTCTTGGTGCCCTAGTTCATTGCGTTCCTTCCTTTAGATTTCACCTCAAATGGCAATTCTGCTGAGAAGCTGTGTTTTACAAACTGTTGTGTACTACATTCACACTGTGTAACTCTCTTTCATTGTGGTTATCACATTGTGTAATTATTCACTTACTCGTGTGACTATTTGGTTGGTGTCTGGCTGCTGCACAGGACTATGCAAGAGCAGAGTGCACTGTCTTTTTGCTTATTGTTATATTCTCGGTGTCCAGAATAGTGTCAGGTTTTCAAAGATATTTGTTGAATAAAAATATTGCATAAAGCACCTAGCAGAGTGTCTGATATACAGTAGGCACTAAGTAAGAAGTAGTTATCAGATTAGCCATTTAAAATACCAAGGAATCTAAATGTTGTTTTATATATTTTTGTCTTGCTTTATGATTACTTTGACTTTATGCTTCCCTTGACTTTCTGGATGAACCTAGAAAGTTACCTCCTTGGTGCCTCAATTTTCTCCAGAACGGGGCAATAAGATAGCAGTGGCTGCATTACCGAATCCCTGAGGAAGCGTGAATGCTGAATTGATGGTAAGGTGTGAGTGTATTTTGGAAGAAGTAATTCTTGTACTGAATAAATCAATGGACATTAGTATTGGGCCCTAGTCTCTTCCTCTCATTCTTTTACATCTGTAGAGAGGTCTCCATCCCTCTCTCTCTTCACTTCAGTCTCAGTGCCTTTAAAGGGAAGGTGGCAGGGCAGTAACTTTTATTTTCACTTCCTCTGTGCCAGGCCATTTGACATACACTATTTCATTTTTAATACTCGTACCTACCACTTGAGATAGATATTTTGATCCTGATTTTATGGATAAGAAAATAGAGGCCCAAAGAGGATAAGAAATTTGCCTGAGGTAACCTAGATAATAAATGAGGTAGTTAGGATTTAAGTAAGTAAATGTCTCTTTTACTGAAATCTGATGATGTCACCCACTATTCTAGAGAGATTTTGAGTGTCTCTAATACCTGGAAGGCTTCATTGCCCACTCAATTCCAACAGGGTGTTTTAGCAGCGTAGAAGCTGAGACCCCACTCTTTCCGGTGACTGGAGTGAGGAGGCAGCTTTCCTCTCAGGCGTGTTTGCCTGCCTCGATTTACTAAAGAACCTCTGGGAAGAAGTGTTGACACAGCCAGACTGATAAAAATATTTCTGGCGGAGTAGCGTAACCCAAATGAAGTTGGAGTTTGAGCTGGTTGGAGACCCCGGAGACCTCTGGAGAGGGGTTGTGGAAGAGGGAGGCTGGTACAGGGAGTCAGACCCTGCCTTGACCTGGAGGTCAGAGTGAGAAGCATGACCTCTTCTTGCTTCCCCATCTGTCATGGGGGCTCACTCCAGCCCCAGAGCCCTGGGAAAAAGCATCACCTGTGGAGAGGAAGCCTGCCAATAAACCACGTGGCTGTGAACCCAAGTGAAGGTAATGCAGAAAGAATCATATCTTTTCATGCAACTCTTGTGTGGCGTGCCAGTTTTACTGTCAGAATTTTCAGGGAGCAATGTTATAGGAGCAGAAATTCTGATCCACAGTTGACTTCTGTGGGGTGTTAGAGTTGTGTGGCCGTGGTTCATCTGAGAGTGGTGGAAAACAATGGCCCAGTAGATTTATCCTGAAGATTCCTTGACATATTTGTGGCAGAAGGAGGACTTCCTAAGCATTCACACATCTTTTGGAGTCAACGACAATGATCTGTTAATGCTGGTAGGGGTCTATCTGTATTCACCATTTAGTGAATCCTGAAACTTTCAGGTTCCAAACTGGACAACAGGATTAATGAGCCAGATTTCACAGGCAGGTTCTATTAGGCACAGGGGCCTGGGGCTGTGAGAGGGGACACATGAAACTTTAGCATTTATGTGAATTTTTACTTTCTCTTAATTAAGAAACTCCACATTGAACAGAATACTCCTTTAAGATTCTGACCAGTTTGTGATTATAAGCGGAGAAGGACTAATTCAGGTTTCCATAGTACAGTAAATAAAAATAATTGGACTAGAGTCAGAAGATGAGGTCAAGATAAATGAATCTATTTAGTAAATATTTATACAAATTTAGCATTCTACTAGATGCTGGGGTTAAACTGGTGGGTTCATGAAGCTTATGGACTAGTGGGGAAAGAGTGACATTAAAATATATTATACCATCTTGTATAATTAAAGAATTACATACAAATGTAAAATTACTGGAGTGGTAAGTGCTATGGTGAAGTCAGTGGTGCCAGGAGAGCACTGATGAATAGGGGAATCTGGCTTAGCTGGGGAGGTCAGTCAGGTTTACTGATAAAAACAAATGTCTATGTGAGCATTTGGATTCAGCGGCGTGGGTAGCTGGCAAAGCACTTTTAGAAAGTGGGGCCAGGAAGGCCTAAAGCTCAGTGAGAAGAGGAATCAAGCACTTCCTAGTCTTGCTGCCCCAGACCTAGGATGATGAACTGGTAGATTCCTTGATTTCTCTTTAAATTGAATAGTCCATGAGTTATCTACATTTAAAAATGTTTTCTGATCACATGTGAGAACATGAGTTTGACTTTCCTCACATCCTAGCTTTAGGAACTTCCTAATTTATGAAACAGGGATGCAAATATCTGTTTTACCGACCTTCCCGTTAATGTGCAGATTGATACAAATAATATGGCCTCTATATTATTCTAGGAAGAAAAGTAAGATACTTTCCTCATTGTGGAATAATGGGAAGTATATATTTAGTCCTTGTCCCCTGTCAGTTGCTGGCACAGAGCTCCTAAAATCTGTGGAATTTCCTGAGTGATAAGGGTGGCAGGAGCTTCTTTTGTTCTAATGAGGTGACTCTTGGGAGGACCTCTAGATAACTTCAGGGTGGGGGCCAGTCACCAGAAAGGCCAAGTCTTGATTAGGAGCTTGGAACTTTCAGCCCCACCCTCTGACCTCCAGGGAGGGCAGAGGAAATGAAGATTTAGTTCAGTCACCAATGGCTAGTGATCTAATCAATCATGCCTCTGTCATGAAGCTTCCATAAAACCCCCTAAACCACCCGGTTTGGAGAGCTTCTGGTTGGCATTCATATCAAGATCCTGGGAGGGTGGCGAACCCAGAGAAGGCATGGAAGCTCCATGCCCCTTCCCCACATCTTGCCCTGTGCATCTCTTCCATTTGGCTGTTCCCAAGTTATATTCTTTACAATAAACTGGTAATAGTATGTAAAGTGCTTTCTGAGTTCCATGAGTCGTTCTAGCAAATTATTGAACCTGATAGAGGGATCTTAGGAAGCTCTGAATTTGCAGTTAGCCAGGTAGACAGGTGAGTAGCCTGGGCACCCTGTTTGCAGTGTCTGAAGTAGGGACAGTCTTGTTGGACTGAGCCCTTAATCTGTAGAGTGGGCTAACTCTGAATGATCAGAATTGAATTGAATTGTTGGACACCCAGTTGGTGTTGAAGAATCAGAGAACTGGTTGAGGTAGAAATAAACCTCCCACTTTTTAATGTCCAATTTCAACCTGATCCATCTGAAGGTAACAATTTTAGGCCATGAACATTAGGCTAATATGACTCTCTCACAAGGTGGTAAAATTAGCATGTTTCAACACATTGTTCTCTGGGAAAATGTTTCAGAATTCTCATGGTGGACAGCTGGTGACACTCAGGGAACTAAGAATAGAGAGCTGTCGTCATGTCACCTACAAATGCAATCAAGGGACCTTTCATGTTGGGGTTGCATAACAGTTTTCGTCTGGCCCGTTTGCCCAATTTATGTTTTTAAATGAATGACTTGAAATTAATACTTATTAAACTATTTTATTCATGGAAATATACAAATCTCTTCAAAGCCTGTACTACAGAAAAATGGCCATGCAAGGTGGACTACCTGAATGGATGCTGGGTAAGGAGCTTTGAGACCTGCACTCTGGCTACAGTTTTGTTACAAATGTGCAGGCTGGTATAAATAATATCCAGACCCTTCAAGAAGCACATCCAGACCTCTTCTGTTTAAAACTTTCTGCTTGGTATCACAGATTCTCTTGCCTATCTCTCTGTCTCCAGTATATTCTGACTTTCAGCAGCCTATCGATACAACTGTGGTAATATCAATGAACTGTTAGTCGAAAATCTCATCAGCTCACAAAGAAAGTCCAGTCTTTTCCTAGGAGTCCTTTGTTCAAATAGTTCCATGGTGCCTGCAAGTCAATCCTCAGCATCTGCACCACAGCAGTGGAGGGGAAACCTAGAGTGGCCCCTGAAGGCCCAATCTTTTGGCCATAAAAAAGTACTACAGACTGGGTGGTTTGAAAAACAGAAATTTATTTTCTCATAGTTTTTGAGGCTGGAAAGTTCAAGATCAAGGTGCCAGCAGGGCTCTCTTCCTGGCTTGCTGATGGCTACCTTCTTGCTATGGCCTCACATGGTAGGAGAAGAGGTGGGAGAGACCTAGGTAGAGATAGAGAAAGAGAGAGAGAAAGAGAGATCGTCCTTGTCTTATAGGGCCACAGTCCTATTGGATTAGGGGTCCATCCTTATGACCCCATTTGACCTTAATTAAGGACACTCTCCAAAAGAACCTATCTCCAGATAAAATTACATTGGGGGTTTGGGCTTCAACATGTGAACCTTGGGGGGACACAATTCACAGAACCAGGATGAATATGGCGGGCCCCTGCCCTTGGAAGCACGCAGGGCAGCAACATCTCTACTGTAAGTCAGATCTCCATGATGTTATGATATAAGTGATAATATGCAATAGGAGACACAGAAGAGAGCACAATTAACCCTAGTGGGGGCTGAGAAAGGCTACTTGGAAGAAGTGAGATTTAAACTACATTTCAAAGGATGGACAAGATTTTAAAAAAGCAAATACATGAAATAAATGAGAAAAAATAAATGCATTTGCGATAGAGGAAAAACCTTGGGAAAAAGATAAAAACAGGAAAATAAGGGAAATTTGTGGAAGCAGAGGTAGACTAGATTGGTTGAAAGATAAGATTTTTTTGGGTGCTAGTGGTATAGTGCTGATGAAACTGCAAAGACTGGAAATGGGGAAGTGATGGAGAGAGATTTGAAAGGCAGAGAGGAATTTGGGCTTCATTTTATCCACTTGTGTTGCTGATGGCAGCATTTGAGCAGGGAAGCAACAGCATGACAGCAATGTTGCAGGAGAAGGGACTGACAAGGAGAAGATTCTAGAGCAATGCTGTGATATACAAATAGAATGTTGGCCAGGCACAGTGGCTCGCTCACGCCTGTAATCCCAGCACTTTGGGAGGCTAAGGTGGGAGGATCGCTTGAGCCTAGGAAGTTGAGGCTGCAGTGAGCCATGATCACACCACTGCACTCCAGCCTGGGTGACAGAGCAAGATCCTGTCTCAAACAAACAAAAACAGAATGTGAGTTACAAGTGTAAGCCACATGTAACTTTAAATTTCCCAGTAGCCACATGTATTAGTAGCCTATTGCTACTATAACAAGTTACCCCAAACCTAGGGGCTTAAAAAAGCACAAATTTGTTCTATTACAGTTTTGGAGGTCAAAAATCTAAAATGAAGATGTTGGCTTGGCTGTTTTCCTTCTGGAATCTTCAGAGGAGAATCTGTTTCATTGACAACTCCAGCTTTTGGAAGCCACTTACATCCCTTGGTTTGTGGCCCCATCTTCCATCTTCAAGCCAGTGGGATAGTATCTTCTGCAGTTAAATCTCCCTCTGCCTCCTTCTTGTAAGGACCCCTGTGATTATATTGGACCCATCCAGATACTACGGGATATCCCCTGCATCTCGATATCCTTAGCTTAATCACGTATGCAAAGTCTCTTTTGCCATATAAGGTAACATATACATAGGTTTCAAGAATTTGGAAGTTGATATCTTTGCAAGGTCATTATTTAGCTACATTAAAAAATCTAAAATGAGGCTAGGCGTGATGGCTCACTCCTGTAATCCCAGTGCTTTGGGAGGCTGAGGCAGGCAGATCACTTGAGGTCAGGAGTTCGAGACTAGCCTGTCTAACAGAGCAAAATTACAAAAATTAGCTGGGCATAGTGGCATGTGCCTGTAGTCCCAGCTACTAGGAAGGCTGAGGCAGGAGAACTGCTTGAACCCAAGAGGTGGGGTGGCAGTGAGCTGAGATTGTAGCACTGCACTCCAGCCTGGGTGATGGAGACTCTGTCTCAAAAAAAAAAAAAAACCTAAAATGAGACTGGTGAAATGATTTAATATTTTAACGCAATATATTAAAATATTTTAACATGCAATCAATATAGAAGTTATTAATTATATATATGTAAAATTTCCTAATAAGCCTTTATAGCACATCTCATTTCAGATTAGGCACATTTCAGGTACTCAGTGCTGACCTGCAGTCAGCATTGGGTGAATGGTGGGATACAGTAGGAAGTGGTAGGGAGAACTGGGTGACGGAGACAATAGTCATTCGTTACAATCATTGACATGGGGATTTTTTTTTTGGAGAGGGCACTCGTGAATTCTATTTTGGACACATAAAGGGGCTGTCCAGCAGGAAGGTAAGAATGAGGGTCTGGAATTCAAGGAGGGGTTAGACTGGAGGGCAAAATGTAGAATCGTTTTGTGAGATGGTGGGACCCGTGATCATGGCCGAGGACAGAACCTTGGGAACACCTATGTTGAGAGGGCAGGGGGAAGAAGGGAAGACTGAGGAGGAGACAGAGAGGAAAGCAAGGGAACTTCTTAGATGGGAGAGAAATGGTAGCAGCTGGTGGGAGGAAGGCCCAGCAGTCCAATCCCAGCAGTGTCTCCCAGGTAACCATGAAGCGTCTCTTCCCCAGTCTGGCATATCTCACTCCAGATTGAACGTGATTACTCAGTCTTCCACACAGGGGTGCTTTTTAGCCCTCAGTGGGAGTGGGAGTGGGAAGATGCTTATTTACAAAACTGTTTATCTTTAAAGAGTAACATTACAGCTGTATCTACCAAGTGGGTTTGGGATTCGGCAATTACGTGGCTAATTTGACGAGTACAGAGAGCAGAAGGGGATGTGCCAGTACCCTTTTTCATTAACCCCTAAGGAATTTATCTCTACAGGGATTAAGTTAACTGAGTAATTGTCAGGTCTTCCTCCAGTGTGGCTGTATTTTAAATGATATATGACTTTGTACTTGTTTGGGACAAACGATCCCATTTCCTTCCTAGATCCTTGCTTCTAACCTTTGAAAGAGGTGGTTCTGTATAATAGGTGAGTGTTCGCTTGGGAATCAGGCTGCTAGGTTCAAATCCTGGGTCTGCCTCTTGCTAAATATTTGGCTTTGAGTTATTTAACCTCTTTGTGCCTCAGTTTCTCATCAGAAAAATGGGGACAGCATTCACTTCCTATTCACGTATTCCCAGTATTCACTGAACAGTATTCACTTGTTATAGTTGTTGGGAGGATTAAGTGAATATATATGTGGATACTTATATCTACATACACATCCTTCCTCTGAATCTTTCCCAAGCATTTGGAACATTCTGTCTCTAAGATGAATAGGGTCACAATATGAAATGTGACAAGATGAAATGACTTCTCTGGTGATTAGATAGTTTATTTCTTCTATTACTTAAGATCGTTCTATCTCCAGCTTCTCTCAATCCAATGCTTCCATTGCCAGCGTTGCTCTAAAATGTGGAGAATTTGTTTGCATTTCATCTATAACATAGTGTTTAGTCACAGACAACTCTACCGCTAAAGACCTGCTTGAATAATCCCTGGTGTAACTGACTCTAGCCAGATTATTATTATTTTTAATTAGAAAAAGGTGAAAAGATCAAACACACCTAGACTGATATTTATATTGCTATGTTGTACAGCTATTTTCCATTTTATAACTTCATTCAAGCCAAGGAGTAAAGACAAAAACTTTGCAGAATTAAAACAGTTTTGCAAGACTCAAATAGCATATTACCAACAGACATTTCCTTCTTACTCTTTAAGAAAATGACTTCTTGTGCTTTGGTACTGAGTACAAGTGAGAAAAGAAGCCATTTGAATATCTTCATGTTTTATTCTCTGATTTATTTGCACCAAAAAAGTCCCTATGTGTAGAAATGGAAAATTGTGTTTTTCTCATTCCCATAACTGTTAAGATTAAATTGAAAATGTACACACACAAGCAGACATTTTAAAGACCGCCCATTTCCATTTTAGGGATTTTGTTTATTTGCTTATTTGTTTGCTTTTTTTGTCCACTCGGTACCTAGGAAACGAACGGCCATTTCTTGCAAAATTCTGTGAGGTTGGAACTTCTTTATTCTACTCCACAGATGACACCTAGAGAATACCATCTACTTCCGAGTCCAGATTATCAGCTGATTAAGATAATCAAGCACGGTAGTTTCCTTAAAAAGATCTCAGGGCTATACAATAATACTCTATTTATAGTTTCCTAGAGCTTCGTGGTAAGTGCATGATTGAGACTGGTGATTCTTAACCAGGGGCAATTTTATCCTTCAGGAGACATTCCGTGACATCTGGAGACATTTTTTATTTTCATGAAGGGGGAGGGGGATTGCTACTGGCATCTATTAGGTAGAGGCCAGGGTTGTTGCTAAACATTTTCCAATGCACAGGACAGACTGTCCGCCCCTCTGCCTCCCAACACAAAATTTTGGGTCCCACATGTCAACAGTGCTGAGGTTGAGAATCCCTGTTCCAGAGCCTCTACATTCCAGACAGGCAGGTCCCAAAGCAGGGGTATAGGGAAAAAAGCCACAAGAGAAGGATGTGATAGGAGTCCTGCTTATTTTAAAGATTAGCATTTACGTTTTTGTTATGTTTCTAGCAAGTTTAACAATAAATGCTATTATCCTGGGGAGCAATTAAATATGGCCATTCCAGGCAGCCATAGAACCACCGTTTTTTTTTAATGGAAGTTCATAATTTGGACATCTCTTGCGGATCCTGTGGTCAACCAGGTATTGTGGGTCAATGTCTATGTACAGTTTTTCCTTGGCATATATGGAAGGAAGCAAATTGATTCCTCAGTTAAACTGATTTCACTTCAAAGAAATTAATCCCAGCTGAAGCAGGTTGTCAGAAATTTCAGGTGAGCCATCTAGAGAGAGAAAGAGGAATGTTGTGATCAGGCCTTCAACTTACAGCGAGTTTCTTTGCAAGAAAATGAAAACAAAGCACAGAGGTCACAGACTTTGGAGCCTGCTAAACTTTGCATAGTAAAAGTCCCAGCTCTGTTACTTCACTTGGGTAAATTACTTGGTCTTCTGGAGCCTCAGTGTTCTTGGTAAAGTGGGAGCATAATATATAACTTGCAGTTTGTTATTAAAAATTAAATCAGAAAATATATGTAAAATGCCCAGTGTCGGATATAGCACACAGTAGAATCTCAGTATATTTCAGTTGTTTTAACTTAGCATCTGAGCTGCAACCTAGACAATTCACGTAATAAGAGGAGAGAAATTGCTTATTTCCTGTTTATGCAGGAAAAAGTTTAGCTGGAAGAATCCAGTTTTGTCGCTGCACTGGCTGATGCTGCCCCGCTCCAGGTTGGTTGACCTTGTTGAATAAACCCACTGATTTGGTCTAGATTTTTCTCTATAGAGCTTTAGTTGTGTAAGCCATATCCCTGATAAACGGGTCACAGCCATGATGAAGCAGGCGGAGGAACCCCTCCTTTTGTTCATGGTTACTTGATCGTTTTTCCATCTCTTTTGTGCTTTCCTCATGTCCTGTGAACGTCCGGGACTCAAAGTCTCTGTAGGTATCAGAAGAGGCAAACCAACCTGCATGGGAGTGAGGCAATCCACCAGAGAGAGAACCTAGATTCCAATCACGGTTTTCGCCTCTGAAGTTATACGACCCTAGACTCTGTGATGCTTAACCTTTGGTTTACCCCTGACCTCAGCTTGACCATAATGGTTATTGGGAAATTCACCACCATCCAAAAGGAATGTTTGGAAGGTTAATGACATAATTGTGCCTAATCCTGGTGATGAGGGGAGAGTAAACGTCTACCTTCTGGAAGTGCATAATAAATCTTGGAGGTAAATTGCATTTCCCCTATTGAACTAAACATATCCTAAAGGAAAACCATATGAAGACCTTTCAGTTTTAAGGTCTTTATTCCCTTCAGGGGACTGCAAGACTTCCAGAACTTCTAGAGTGGGGAAAATCTATTCTCAGCACAAATAGAACTTTTGATCTCAAAGGGCTCTGAGTTCCCTACAAGGAAAACACTTTGTGCTATTATCTATTAGGTCAGCATGCAACATTTTCCTTGCAGCCTTCACTGAAACAGTCGTCACGTCTGTTTCCAGAACAGGGGAACTTTGATTGTTCAGCTCATGTTTCATTTTTTTCTGGATTAAAGCCCTCACAGACCACTCTCTCTACCTGATGCCGCTTTAGGATACAAGTTGGACCCCAAATCTAGACCTTCCTAAAAACCTTCCCCTGCCTGTAGGAAGGTACCCTTTTAAATCATTGAAACCTCAGTTACCTGAGATCACAAGTTTCACTCGACCTAAGGGGAGAATGGAAGAAAAAAAAATGTGAGGGTGGGCCTGACCACCTGGGAGAATGTGGGGAAAATGGGAAGGAGAGGGCAAAGTTCTTCGTGCTTCCCAGGGTCAGCCATGAATTTTAAGCAAAGGATTAATTCTATGTAAAGATGAAAACTAGATATTTGTGAGCATGTACTATCTTCTATGTGTGATGCAAGGCATGTTCACATGCATTATCTGGCTTAATTTTTGCATCAACTTTCTGAAGGGGTGTTATTATCACCATCTTTACAGATTGGGAAAGAGTCATTAAGTTATTTGCCCAAAGTCACATAGCTTATAAATAAGAGCGAGGATTCAAATCCAGAGTAGTCTGACTCCTACATTCATGCTTCCCCTCCCCACCCCCACTATAAACCAAGATCCTTTTGGAAATAGCAAAGACTTCCTTCACCTTTCTCTTCTACTTAGTTGCTTCACCCCTTTGTGACTTTTCTCCCGAAGGATTTTGGGAAATTCAATGGTATTAAGGCATGTGAGCACATGAAAATGGAGGCAATAAGCTTCTTGCAAACTTGATGATAACCATTACTGCAAATACTATTGTATTTGTAGTTGTAAAGTGCTTAGTATATGAATTCAACCCTATTATTACCTAGTAATAGTGTGTATTATTATAATAACATACAATTATTTGGCTTGGGTAAAATTGGAATGTTGTATATTTAAGATGTCACCCATGTTCTATTTTTCTAGACTCACTGAAAAATACAGTTTAATGAATTGCATCAAAATCTGTATCTCATAGGAAGTCGATTTGCCTTAAATTTTCACATCAAATTTCCACCTTTACTCAGGAACTTCCTGTTTTCCAGTAACATTCACCAATTCAAATTTATTAACACTGAAAAATGCCTTAATCAAATAGCATACAGATGTCATATAATTCTTGATATGAGATGTATCCATGGGAACCATTTGGCCCAACTAGCTAAATGCCTAGTTACTTGGAAAGATGTCTGCTCCTAGCTCCAGACTGCTGGGCAAGAAGCCCCAGAGACTATATGCTGACAAGTGGACACTGCCAACACCATGAGATCCTTTCCCACTGCAGTGGGCTTACTAGGTAGCCCTGCCACTACAGAAAATACCTAATTAGCAGGCAATAATTCTTCAACTCTTTAACCTTTGACTTTCCGAGGGTATCTCTCCTTTCCCCTTTGTGCCCATTACAATTGATTAGAAGAGGCGATTAAAGTCAATATATAACATTCTGTAACTTTTTAGCAATGGTGATTTAAAAAAATAGTTGGTAGATAATTTTGAAATAATAAGCTCAAATGAGTTTTTAAAAAATATCCTGGTCCTGAGAAATTCATTTCTCTGACTTTATATATTTGATGTACATATTTCACATATTTGAACACTTCAAATATTTGAACACATATTTATTGATCACCTATGATGGCTCCAGTCCTCTATAAGCTTATAATGTGGCATACAAGTAAATGCAGTATACTAAGTTTAACGTAAAGAAGTATGTGGTCTGTGACGTGTACCTTATTACCACCACCAGCAAGGATTATTCCAGTTCAACAGTCTTGTTGCTTGTGTGTTGTGTGCTAGACTCAGTGCTAGATTATGAGGATAGCAAGGTGAATCGAAAACGGATCCTTGGATACCCAGTGTTAGGATTTAAAAAAAGTCTTATGAAGGGTGATGGCTAAATAAATAAATGACATTTAGGAATATCAGCATACTTAGGAACAGGCTGGGGCTCCTCACATCTCAGAAATTTTGGCTTGGTGATAATGCCAACTTCTGCTCCTATTTGCTTAAGAATCTCCTGTTGCATTCCTGGCTACCTTCAGTTTAGAAGTCTTTAGGGCCCAGCTTGGAAGCTGTTTGTTTTCTAGTGGAGGAGAGGGGGTGGGTATGTAGTATGAGCGTTGCCTCTGTGAAGGTGCTAGATCGAACCCAGGTTCCTGGGAACCTTTCAGGAGATGGAGGTTTACTAGGGCTTGGACCTCATCCACCATTGTAGCCAAGGGCCCAGAATCAAATTAGGTAATAGAGACTGGATCCAGCTTGCCCAAGGGTTTGGCAGGAACACAAGTGTCTGTGCGCCTGCTGGTGCATCATGTTGGTTCTGTGCCTGCTTCAGGGAAACGCTGAGATTGTGTTGATTACCATGCATCTAAATATCGGACCTCCATCCAAGTGACTTGCTTTAATTCCCTGGATGGGGCAGGTGGGACCCAAGACCCCCTCTGCGCAGACTTTCCCTACTTAGGTCCCTTCTTGCTCTCAGTTGCTTGCCCTATGGGGCAGGGTGCAAACCCTTTTTGGTTGCTGGCTGCCCCAAGGGACAGGGTGAGTCTTGTTTAGCAAGGAAGAAGCCGGTGAATCTAGCTTTTGTTTTGCAATCCTTTGGGACATGCTTACAACAGAGGATTTCATGATGAGTAAATTTTGGTCATTCTAAAAGGAAAATACATCCACAGATGTATTTGTCTTCTGGCTGTGGTTTCTGAAGTCATAATAAATTACATTAAAAGTACTTCTCTCATTGTCACTGTTCTTTTACTATTCAGTTAGACATTTAAAAAGATGATAGGTGGGCGAAAGATAAAAAGCTGAATGATTGTCTCTGCCTTGGGGGAGATGTTCTCATGGAAAGGAAGTGCACTGCTGGGCAATGCAGGGAGGTCATTTATGGGCAGCTGGATGGTTAAAATTCTGTCTTCTGCTGCTCTGTTTTCTCTATCAAAGTGTAGCTTAGCTTTGCCAGACTAGTTATTTTAAGCTATTGCAAACAATTTCAAAGCTTTATCTTTGCCCTTGGCTCCAGTAAAGTGGGGACCCCCTGTGCAGTGCTCTCTTGGCGTTAAAATAGATCTGAGCTGCTCAAGGGCTGGGGAGGAGGTGGGTTGTTGCAGAGAGGGAAGGCAGACAACAGGGTGGGGGATGCTTTCAGGGCTAGACCATTAAGGGTGCTTCTTTAGGAAGCTTGAGGGATAGAAGTGCAGTTCTGGACAATGTGTAAACCTAAACATCATTTTAAAAGCCTTTTTGGTATTAGCAAAGGAAATCCATTCAGGCTACTTTGTATTTCATTTCTTTTGTTTTCTTGTTTTAAAATTCATATTTCCCCTTTATGATAGGTATCTGTCTATCCATCCATCCATCCATCTATACTAACATCTAGTTTTGGAGAGAGATTTCAGTAGTGAGAGAGAGAAAGATGTTGAGAAAGATATTTTGAGCATTCTGCCTAGGAGTTTCAGTCAATAGAAAAAGCAGTGTCCAGGAGATAGTACTGGACTGTTATTAGTTAGAATGCCTGAATTGTTCATAAGGAACCAGCACAAATTGTGGCTGAAGTGTACCCTGCATCTGGAGTCTGTTGGGGGAAGTGCTGGCACTGGGGAGGTATAGGTACAGATGGGACATCTTACCATCTGTGAGCTCTCCATGACAGGCAGGGGATCAGACAAGCCCTAAGTGAGCGGGTAGATAAATTAGAGGGAATTTGGATGAGGTTATTTCCTCCCTTATTGGCTCAAGACTCTCCCAAATCTCATTACTAGGATTCTTTTTGTTGGCTTATGGCCTTGTTACTGTCCCATAGCTGTCTTATCAGGTTTTTACACCTTAGTGTGAATTAGTTTATTGGCTTCTTTTCTTAGAACCAGGGAGAATGATGAGTAGATAATGAAGGAGAGGGCAAAAGGGAAAAAGGTAAGGAAAGTGAATGTTTGGGTGTACTACAGGTCAACTTCTTCTGGTGGAAACCCTTGCCCCGCAGGGCCTGCCAGCAGCAGCACTGCCTGTACTCTTCAGTTCTCCAAACAGAACCTTCTTTCCATTATTGAGATGTAACATCTGTTTTAAATTATGTCACTTGTACCAAGACAGTCAAGTGATTGGCACCTTCTTCAGAATAAGTGTGAAGGTAATGAGCCAGATGCTTCCAGGAGAGTATGTTATTACCTGCATGTAAGTTAGTCACAGGGTCGTGCATTCATTTTTTTAGGCCACCATTAAATGACTCCTATAGAGTACATTTTTATTTTTTATTTTATTTAAGTTTTTTTGAGATGGAGTCTTGCTCTGTCGCCCTGGTTGCAGTGCAGTGGCGTGACCTTGGCTCACTGCAACCTCTGCCTCCCAGTTCAAGTGATACCCCTGCCCCAGCCTCCCAAGTAACTGGGACTACAGGCACATGCCACCACACCCAGCTAATTGTGGTGTGTGTGTGTGTGTGTGTGTGTGTGTGTGTGTTTGAGACAATGTCTCTCTTTGTCACCCAGGCTGGAGTGCGATGACATGATCTCGACTCACTACAACCTCCGCCTCCCAGGTTCAAGTGATTCTTCTGCCTCAGCCTCCCTAGTAGCTGGGATTTCAGACGCCTGCCACCACACCTTGCTAATTTTTGTATGTTTAGTGAAGACAGGGCTTCACCATGTTGGTGAGTCTCGTCTCAAACTCCTGACCTCAAGCAATCCACCTGCCTCGGCCTCCCACAGTGCTGGGATTACAGGCGTAAGCCATCATGCCTGGCCCTAGAGAGTACATTTTAAATCACTCCTCTGTGGCTTGAAGTTATTGTATGTGTAAAGAATGGATTCTCTTGTCTCGATGTAATATCTTTCCTCCAAATAATAATAATTAAAAACACTTAACACTAGGGATTTGTGTATTGATTTACCAGCATCTTTTAATCAGGTTCCATAAAATCTTTATACAGTCTCCAGCAGGGAAATATATTATTAATTCCATTTTTCTAAAAGATAAGCCTCTGAAGTTAGGCCAAACCACTTACTATGATAAATTGCTAGACTTATTTTTGTCTTTTAGGTGAATCCCCTCAGCTATTGGATTATCCAAACTCTTCTTATCATTCAGGTCCCATTTAAGTAACATCTCATGTTTATATACCTATTTTTAATGAACATTGAGGGCTTTGTACTGTGTCGGCTTGGCTACACTGTAACTATGTTTCCCAGAATCTTCTTTTCTTTGTGGTTTCAGGTTAGCATTGGCCACAGGTTTTTGCCCAATATTTGAAAAGCCAAAGTGACCTTGTGCGTATATTATATTCTGAAGGTAGGTAGTAGGTCCCAGGCACTGTAGCAGCTCACACATGTGGTGGAATCTGCTGGCTCACCTAGTTGGTGTAGGGCAACTCCTAAACCTGAAGCTCCTCCAGCTCTTCATATCTCTTCCATCAGCCTCTCCAAGTGCTAAGGCAAGTGGGTGTGTCACCCAGGGCATCAGGACTGAGATGGTGGGAGACAGATAGAGGTCCCAGCTCATCCTTATGGTTTCTAGTTTGTTCTTATTTTCACTTTATATTCAGTTTTCCATCCTAGCTGTCTCTGTGGCTGAACTATAGTGAATTAACTATAGCGGACCAACTCTAGTCACAGTGACCATAGCCTGCATGGACTTCTTCATCAGCCTGCAAATACTGCTCCTACAATTGCATATGGTCTAACCTCTATAATAAATCCATTTTCTATATTATTTGTAGTAATATAGTGATGACTGTGTAACCCTGCATAATACCTAGAAATTTAGATTTATTTAACAAGCATGTGAAATGTAAGCTACATGAGGGTTTCCGAGAAGTTACGAAACCATTTCTGAATATAGATAATATTTCTTAAATACAAGATGCCAGGGGTAGAGATAGAGCAAGAGATTATAATGGTGCAATGTAAGAAGAAATAGGGTAGCAATATAGCAAACTTTTTTTACCATGTAATATCCTGTCCCCAGAATAGTGCTTGACACATAATAACTCCAAACTAAGTATTAATTGGGTTAGAGTCACAAGTTTGAGCTCTTTAACTATGAAGGGATAAGATAAGCAGTTCCCTATGTTTTGATTTTATCTTGCATTTCAGATGCCTGTGAGACTTCCAACTAGAGATTTGGGATTTGACAACTGGTTCTATGGGTCTGATATCAGTAGAAAAATCTGGATGGAATCTATGTAAATTTGGGGACTATTAATATATAATGGGCATGGATAAGAAGTCAGGAAGAGGTAAGAGGGGAGATGGGCTGAGGAAAGAAACTTGGAAAACAAAATTGAATATTATATCAAGTTCTTACTTTCTGGTAACTGAATTATAGAGCCACACCTTTGGCTTCATGGTCGATGAGGTACACATTTATACCTTGACATTAGGCTGGGCTACCTGACTGACTTTGGCTAATGAAATGTTAGTGGACTTGATATGAGCAGAGGCTTGAAATGTGCTTGAGGAGTTGGACTTCCCCTCTTCTGTTCTGGTGATCTGCCCATGAGAGAAACGTGCTCCCAGGGGCTGCTGTTCCTTCAGGCTGGGTCCAGAATCAAAACAGGTAGAGATTAGAGCCCAACTTGCAACCCAGAGTCAAGCCCAGCTGACGCACACTCTGATGCCGTGCCCACCCTGGTTTGGCTAAACTATAATTCACCTGCTGACTTGAAAATGTGGGAATAAATGCTTGAATAAATCCCTGAGTTTTGGGATTGTTAGACAGCATTATTGTAGCAATTGCTGACTAAAATACACAGCAAATATAAACTGAAGAAAAATAACTTATGAAGGTATCTGAGAAGAAAGGGCCAGACAGGTAAGGGAGAACTCAGGAGCAAGGAGTATTGTAGGTGCCAAGAAGAGAGGGTTTCAACAAGGAAGAAGTGGCAATCAGTTTCAAGTGCTTGAAAGGTCAAGAAAGTCAAGGACCATAATGGAATTCACTGGATTTGACAATGATGAGATTGATGAAATTTGTATCTGATTCCTACAAATTTCTCTGTGAAGTAGGAGATGCAATCTTCTGAGAGTGAGGAGGAAGAACAACAGGCCTGGAATAAAGTGGTAAAAGTTTGAAAATTCACTGAAGGGAAGGGGAGATAGAGACCATGTGATTTTCTCTAGCAATGACCATAACCTTGATAAAAGAAAAATCTAGGTGATGGATGTGGTGTTGGAGATTATTGGGATGTGTTAATAAAAAGGCAAACGTGTTCTTGTCAATCCCATCTATTATTGGCCCTTCTGAGTTCCTGAAGCACTAGAATCCATAATGTATACTTTTCAACTTTTTCATATGTTATATTCTTTCTGGCTTTATGTGCTAACAGTATTTTATCTCTCTTTCCCTCTCTCTGTTTATTCATTCACCCATTCATCTGTCTGTCCACCCACTCATCCATCCATTCTTTATGTCAGTCCCCCAAGGATATGAGGGAATTTATACATAATGCTATATTGAAATGTTAAATTAAAAATACAAAATTCAGAATCAAGGAAAATGTAGATAAGAACATATTAGTCACATAGTAAGTACCCAAAACAATTTTTGATTGATCGATCAGGTAGCAACCAGAAAAATATGGCTTATAGACCTCATTCTAGATCTAGATTTCCCGCTTCAGGCATCTACCACTGTAATTAAGTCATATTTTATGAAAAAAGAGGAATTTGAGAAAGCTAACATGAAATATAGGAATATTTAAACAATAAACTCTCAGTATGAAAAGTTAAAATAAATTCTCCTTTGTGTCTTAAATTACATAGGGAAGGAAAGCATTTTTATGTAATTTCCTCCATTCTTACCAGACCATGTGATCAGTCACTCTTGTCATACCTGCCCCTTAGGATAGATAAAACAAGTAGTGCTGTCAGTTGTTAGACTTCTGCATGGAAAATATATTAGTGTTTACCTTTTGGGGAGATGGGCAACAGACTGCAAAATACACAGTGAAATCTGTTTTTTTTTGTACAAACAAAAAACTTTTACCTACTTTAAAAGGAGAGCGCTTTCTTCATTGCATTTGCATAATTTTATAATGCATACCTAGAAAAATACAGAGTTATTTCCAGGAAAAGAAGTTTGGTTATCTTGGTTAATTAGTTCCTTTTCTAGCTCCTCTTCAATTGAAAGGAAAATGAAATTGGTATCATAAGCCCTATGTGATAATCATATTTCATAATTATGCTATTACTAGTACCTTAACAATGGATTTAAAAGGCTGGTTCATCTCCCTTTAAAGTTTAATATTCACATAAATTGAAAATCATTTAGCAAACATACCTATATGTCTCCTTGGGTTAGAAAGAGCTTTTTAAGAAAATAAAATATAAATCAGTCCAAGTATCTCAGTCTTCAGGACCACAATTTCCTCCAGTTCCTCTGGCAACACAATTAACTCCAGTCATTTCCCAGACCTTCCCTACAGGGCCATAGATGCTGTGATAATCTGGCAACAGGATGTTCTCCCAGACAAGTGACAAATCCCTATTGATAATATCCAAAGTTTTGATCATTGCACATATTCCCTTGACTTTTAAGGTAGCTTTTCCTTGCTCTTTCAATCAGCATCTGGATTGTAACCATTTCATAGAACTTAATCAATTTATTCATTCAATAAGTACACTTTTTTAGGACCTACTATGTGCCAGGCATTGCACAGGACCTGGGAATACAATGATGAACCAGATTGTGCATGTATTTATGGGACATTCTGTTTAGTGGTGAAGACAAACAGAATAATACAACGTAAGAACTCTCATTGTATTTCTTTTTCTTTGTTTCTCCCACTCAATGCATCTAAAACTGGGGCAGGGAAGTAGGAGTCTACGGACGTACTCTTTGAAGTCCGTATTTTCTATGGTAATTTAAAAAGCTTAAATTCACTTTGATGGTAATTAAATTTTTTCAAGTATATTCTTGGTCGTCTTGATAACTACTTTATAACTGAGTAATATCCTACCATTTCTGTGCCAAGTGTACGTTTATGTTTACTCAAAAAATCAGTTTTCATAAATAATCATTCACACTGAGAGATGTTTTTTCTATACTATGACCTCATTGATTGCATTATTGTAAAGCTGTTAATCCTAAGTTTTTGGTTTGTTATCTAGTATGTAAATTTTATATGTAAATTTGTTTTGGTTGCACAGTTGCATAAATACAGCAGAAATAATTAATCCAAGTTTTATGCTTTTATTTATATTTAGTAACATTATGATAAAAGCCATTTAAGTCAAAAGAGGGAGGGGTTTACACTTTTCTTGAAAATTATAGGATAATTTTCCTTTAAAAGAAGTTCTGCTTTACTTGTGTTTGAGATAGTTCTGGTTCCCTGTCAGTAATCTTTCAGAAAAGCTGTTTGAGAAAATCCCTTTTCTTCATTTCCTTTGTGTTGGTGAAAACTGTCATCTGACAGGTTATGATCTTCCTTATTCCACCCTCAGCTCCTGAAGTGAGGGGGCGTCCAGCTAAGTGTGTTAGCAGAGTGTAATTTAGAAATACCAAAGGGCTGAGAGTTTTTTTTTTTTAACCCCATTAAAAATTCTTTAAGTGAAAACATTTAAGCAAGGTTAAGCACAGTAACCCTCTGGGTTATTTGTGAGTCAGATTTTCAGTTTTAAATCGGGCTATGTGTACTCCTAGCATCCGATGAGCTATGGAGGATGTAAGAAGATGGAGGATATGACCATCACATTTTCATGGTGGTAAAAATTAGAAAATAAAAACAAATGCTATCTATGGGGTAAAATGCAATTTGCATGCATGTTTAAGTGAAAACTTCAAAGGAATTCCAAGTTTGAAGTCAGACACTGCTTTGGAATATGCTAGCAAACATTCCAGGGTCTGGCAATCTCTCTTCTCTGTCTTAAAGGGCTACTTTGGCAGAAACGTTTGGAAAGCGTTGTGCAGGAGAAATGCTACTCAGGGCAGGAAACCTGAAGTTGTCCCCTTCCTACCAGATCCTGAGTGTTTGCCTGGAAGATTGTGAAGATTTTCTTTTGCAAGATTTCTGGTGGTAGCATTATCAAATCTTGGGTTTTTTTCTGGCTCTCCTTACCACCCTGTCATGATAGTGGTTGCACTTTTTGTTCAATCGACAGCAGAGTGCATATTGCATATAAGGAGTTGAAGACATTTGCAATAACATCTCCCTCTGAGATCTTATATCTACAGATTGGAAACCACTGAAGTAGTTGACGGTCTCTTCATCTGACCATCTCATGCTCATCACGTCCTGGTCTCTGCCAACCAGTGTATCAAGTTTACTCATTCATTCAACAAAATTACAAGCTTCCTGAAGTGCAAGGAGCTGTCTACATGTAATTGGAAGCTCTAAACTTGCATTCCCACATCTCTCTCTTCTCCATTAAATATGCTGTCTCCTTGCATTTGGTTTAAATGCATTATCTATTTAATGTTGGCTCATTAGCCTTAATGTCTGTTTTAGTCAGGCTGAATCAATTAAAACACTAGTTAAGTTGGATCAGATCTCCAGTTTACCCCTCCAGTTTGGTGACTGAAGAAGCAGCAGGCCAAATAGCCAAATTTGGATCCAGAGACATCAGTCCATTTATCTCCTCAGTCATTTTAAAGCTTCGTATGAAACTGTCTGCCAACATTTTGAGTCTATCCCTTTGCTTGGTATAGTCTCTGTCTTTGAATAGTGATTCTTAAAGCAGGTGGCGGTGGTATGTGGATGTGTGTTTGTATATTTTGAAAAGCATATGGTAAAATTATTGTCTGACTTATTTCTAATCTCAATATTTAATTTTTTCACATAACAGCAAAGGGAGGCATATGACTTTTTTGTTTATAAAAGAAGGCATGGATTTTAAAGAAATTTTAAGGTCATATTGCAAAATACAACCTTAGATTTTAGAGAGAGTGAAATCTTGCCTGTGTTCCAGATGTCACCTAACACTGTTACATAGTGAAAACATGCTATTTTTAATGCTCCGTTCCTGATAATTTAGTAATTGCTTCTTATTAGTTTAGATTTCCAGCAGTCTCTATATCTTGAGAACAGGAAGTAAAATCAAAACAAACAGAAGGCTTTAGTGACTTTGAAATATATGTTCTAAAGCTAGTAAGCCACACTATACTCTGCACATGCTCATTCAGACCCATTAACTCTCATATTATACAAAATTCAAACAACCTGGTGAGACAGAGTCTGTTGTTGTCTATCCTATGATTCTCAGACTTTATGTCTGGGGTGGGGCTTGGTAATTTGCATGTCTCACAAGTTCTCAGATAATGCTGGTCTGGGAATCACACTTTAAGAACAACTGGCCAGCCTGGTACGGTGGCTCACGCTTGTAATCCCAGCACTTTGGGAGGCCGAGGTGGGCAGATCACCTGAGGCCAGGAGTTTGAGACCAGCCTGGCCAACATGGTGAAACCCCGTCTCTACTAAAATTACAAAAAATTAGCCGGGCGAGGTGGCGGGCGCCCGTAGTCCCAGCTACTCGGGAGGCTGAGGCAGGAGAATGGCGTGAACCCGGGAGGCGGAGCCTGCAGTGAGCCGAGATCGCGCCACTGCACTCCAACCTGGGCGATAGCGAGACTCGTCTCAAAAAAAAAAAAAAAAAAAATCAGCTGAGCATGGTGGTAGTGCCTGTAATCCCAGCTACTTGGGAGGCTGAGGCAGGAGAGTTGCTTGAACCCGGGAGGCGGAGGTTGAGTGAGCTGAGATCGCGCAACTGTACTCCAGCCTGGGCAGCAATAGTGAAGCAAAACAAACAAACAAAAAACAACTGGCCTATCCCGATATCCATTTTCCCCTTCCCCTTAGAAATAAAAGTCAAATTTTATTTAGGGTGGCAATGCATCCATTAGGGTGACATTCTATTTCCCAGCTTTCATTTTAGCAGTGGGGTCATGTGGCTCAGTTATGGCCCATAAGATGAAATAGAAATGTTGGTAGTACCTTTAGGACAATAGTATATATAAAAAAAGAGTATGCTTTGGTTATTCTTCCCTTCCCTGTTTCTACAGCTTAGAACATGGTTGCAATGGTTAGAGCTCCAGTAGCCTTCTTAGATTGTGAAAAAGTCACATATGGCAGAGCAAACTCATAGGGTCTCAAATAGCCTTGTGGAGTCTTCCTGCCTGGTTTGCTTACCTCTGCACTTCCTCTACATAGGCGAATACACCTTTTGTGTTTAAGCTACTACAGTTGAGTTTCTGTTACAGCTGAACTTAACCCTAACTGATACACTTTGTCAGTTTGATTTTTCAGCAGCTTCAAAGGACCAAATTGGAAGCAGGAAGGGCTGCTTCTGGTTGCAAGTGAGAAAAAAGAAAAATTATTACAGACCAGAAAATCAATTAATGGTGAGGTGGCTGACTTCAAACCAGTGAGAAGGTAGGAAAAGGTGTAGAATATTCATTCTTTTTTTTAATTGAACATAGTTGAAGTTGACAAGGCAAACTTCAGGTGCTTTTTTTTTTTTGGAGACAGAGTCTCGTTTCTGTCACCCAGGCTGGAGTGCTGTGGTACGATCTCAGCTCATTGCAACCTTCACCTTCCAGGTTCAAGCGATTCTCCTGCCTCAGCCTCCCGAGTAGCTGGGATTACTAGCATCATCATGCCTGACTAATTTTTGTATTTTTAGTAGAGACTAGTTTTGGCCACCAGGCCAGTCTCCAACCCCTGACCTCAAGTGATCCACCTACCTCTGCCTCCCAAAGTGCTGGTATTATAGGCGTTGAGCCACCATGCCCGGCCCAGGTGCTTTCATTTTTTTTTTTAAATGAGGATAAAATTATTTTTTTTAACTTTTATTTTAGGTTTGGGGGCACACGTGAAAGTTTGTTACATAGGCAAACATGTGTCATGGGAATTTGTTGTACGGATTATTTCATCACCCGGGCATTAAGCCCAGTATATAATAGTTATCTTTTCTGCTTCTCTCCCTCCTCTCACGGCTCAAGTGGACCTCAGCCTCTGCTGTTTTCTTCTTTGTGTTCATAAGTTCTTATCATTTAGCTCCCACTTATAAGTGATAACATGCGGTATTTGGTTTTCTGTTCAACTTCAGGTGCTTTTTGACTTGACACGTTAGACTCTTCATTCTCGCCTTTGTCGTCAGCATTTATGGAGCTAGGCACTGTGTGAGTGAGGACAAGCATAGTGTACCTCTGCACTCAAGGCGTTCACAACAGAGCCCAGGACGGTGAGAAATTGGCCTATGTGAGGACTTAGGGGTGTGTGTTGCAGTTATTTTGTGTAAGTGGGTAGTTGGAAGGGTTCTTTAGGAGAACGCTCCTATGGTTATTTACAGTTGTGGAAATTGTCCTAGGCCAAGTACAGACACAATGGCTGAGTGTAAAACCGAATACTCCAAGCTCCTGGTTTAGTTATCTAACAAATGACACTGCCTAGCTTGTCCTAAATCTCTTTCAATAACTGAAATTTATTTCCCTCTTGACTACCTTCTGACAAAGGGGCTCCTGTTCTCTTCCATTCTGTCATTCCCAGAAATACCAGTGCAAGAAAGCTTCATCAGGAACTAGGGTCACAGTGTCAGACAAAGCTTATTGTCTGGGTAGGTGATTTTATTCCAGGAAAAGAGCTCCTAAAGTAATACCAAAATACCAATAAATGTAGCTAGACTGACTCATTTTCAAGCCTTTTACGGTTCTATTTTGTAAACCCAACGTAGAGAATAATTAATTTCCAAAATCTACAGGACACCTTACTACCAATTTTTGTGGGGAGAGATAATGACTTGAATGGAACATAAGCAGAGAGTTGATTTTAAGTAAGGAAATGGGGTCAGAGAGAGGTTAAGTGGCTGGCCTGGGGTCAGATAGCAAGCTGGTGACTCAACTTTGCAGCTCCTGGATCTGAGGACTGCAAAGAAAACCAGAGCTCATTTCCTCTAGATAAGTTAACTGCCCCATATCTGTGGTCTGCCATAAGCTTTTAAGAGCCACATTCCTTTTGTGACTATAGACCTGAGTTCCTATGGCTTTCACTGGAGAATGGAAAACACTTTCAAGGTCAGACTGTGTTACATAGAGGGCAGAATAGCACTTATTTACCACCAAAAATCATCATGCAATTTGTAGGAACTGCCGTCTTTTGCATGCCTTCTGGTCTGCATGCAGCATATGCATAATAACCAGCTTGTACAATAGATGGAGTGTCTTGGAAACGATCACCTGCATTTATGAAGTGCTTACTATGTGTCAGGCATCTTCCAAGTGTTTTACATGGATGATCTCATTTAATCCTCATGATAACCTTGTGAGGTAGGTCAATTTATAGCCCATTTTACCACCTGGGATACTGAGGCCTTTCAGGGGTTAAGTTCCTAGCCCAAGTTGATAATGCTAGAAAAATGGTCAATTAAGGATTATGAACCCAGTTTGGTCTGACACAGAGGCCGCATCCTTTATCACCATGCTATTCAGAATTCTTGTACACACATACCTACGGTTTTTTTCTCTGCTTCTGTTATTTCAGTATTATAGAGTAAAACTTCATGCAGCGGTAATTTTTATCTTGACCTTAGACAAATAATTGGTCTGACTAAAAACAAACAAAAAAATGGAGATCTTAACAGCAAGATTGATTGTCCTACCTACCTGCAAACATTTCAAAGGTGCCTCTCTCACTGCAGGGTTGTTTTGGAAAGATCTTAGTTATATATCAAAGAAAATAATATCTTCCACACTAAAAGGTTGAAAATAGAAATATTTGGAAGTGGAACTCTATTTGAAGTTCTGTGACGTATGGTGACAATGTGAACTTCTAATACTCTTCATTTTCTGGAAAACACAATCCTCTAAACTAAAAAAGATGGTGGAATGGACATCTATGAAGGTTTTTGTTACTTGAAAAGTTTGATCCTAAAATGGATTTGTGTGTGGGTGCATTGGAAAATCATTCATTTCTTTTGAATGGGAGACAATAATTATAGATGAATAAGAAAAATACAACTTAAATATTAGAAATCATTGATTTTTTTTTAGGTGGCAAGATATCACCCTGGAATTATGGTTAGATATTGTAAATTGAGTTAAAAAATTTAGTTAGAAATGATTTTATTAAATAGGTGTGAAAAATCTCGATTTTAAACAGTGCACGCGTGTGTGTGTATGTGTGTGTGTGAGGCTTTGGAGCATTGGTAGGTTTCAGAATTCTGTTAAGCCAACTCTCATCAAATGATTACAAATATAAGAAGGAGGGGACCAAGCAAAATAGAAAAAATGAAAGTCATATTATAATTTTTCAAGATATGAATATTTTGAACCCATTCTTCTTTTTTAAAAAACATATATTATGAATTTGCAGGGATACACAATGTTGAGGTGGGAGACCCAGGGTCTCTTGATTCAGACAAGATGGGTAGAGCATCCCACCACCTGATGGCAGCAGACATGAACTGTGGGCTACTCTTTTTGAAGTATGAGTAAATTTCTTATAAACTAAAACTATAATTTAAAAAAATTAAAATAACCCTTTTTTAAAGTTGTAAAAGCAATGCTCATTTATGTCAAAATAAGACAGAAAACACAAATAAATGAAAAGGAAGAATTAAGAGTCATTTACAGTCTTAGAGATAGCCACTGTTAGTACCCTGGGGCATGTATTTCCAGGTCCTCTGTGTATGTGTGTGCACACAAAAGCAAACACGCATTAAGATCATTCTACATGCTATTTGTAACATGATTTTTCCACTTAATTGTATACTGTGACAATGATAATATATTATAAATGCTTTTATATGACATAATTTTTCATGGCTGTACTTGCACATTTGGGATTAAAAAATATTTTGCTATTATGAATACTGGGATAATTTTCCCTTTAGGAAAACTTTGAATTTACCATTAATTATTTTCTTGGGTTAAATTCCTATTTTTGTAATTTCTGGATTAAAGGGAATGCAGATTTGAAGATTTTTGAAACAGTCTATAGTGTCCTCCAGAGAGGTTTACCAATTTGCACTATGATTGTTTGTATATATGGGCCGAGGTTAGCTTGAAAGTTCTGAGGCAGTATTTTTGGTGACAATTATGACTGCATTGCAGATTGTGAATATTAAAAATAAGGTTTGATGTGGTTAGCCTAGAATAAAACATATTAGATGTGAATATGTTGTATATTACTATTGGTATAATTATTACCATTGAAATCCAAGATCTTTTGGAGGTCTAGATGAATGTCATACAAATTCATTGACTGCTGGCATAAGCCTTGAACATGTGGCAAGCTTAGATATCACTAAAATCTGTTATTTGAAGAACTTGCAAAAAATTGGCATGTGTGGAAAGCAGATGCCTTATATTGATAACAGTTAAGTTTTGCATTTGGAATGTTGAACCATGTGCATAAGGCTAATATCTTTGAGAAAATGTGGATATTTTTAACAAGAAAGCATATGCTTAAAGGAAAAAAAATCCTTCATGTGGTTTCAATACTTAATTTTTAGTGGAATGTTCTTTCCTAAAGGTGCGTGAATTATTTAATGCTCTTCATTTATGGAATATTATGTGATAGATTTGATTGTATTTTAATTGTGTTATTTGCATTATAGCCCTTTTAATGAGAACAGTAATTCTTGGACAAGGCTCTACATCATTGTTTAAAATGGTGTTGAAATTTTGTTGACTACATTTTCTCAGTCATCTCAATGAACCAGAAAAACACATTTAAGGTGGTAACATTATGTAAAGGTACTTTGATATATCCAGGCTTCTTGCAGGTAATTGATTCATTCCCTCCCTCCCTCCCTCCTTTATCCTTCCGTCCCTCTCTCCATCCCTCTCTCCATCCATCCGTCCATCCACTGACCCACCTGGCCAATCATTCATTTATTTTTATCACATACCTACTTTATATCAAGTCTAGTGTAAAAACTTTCATGTTATGGAAGAAAAAGTAGCAAATTAGCCCCACTGTCAACAATGGAGGGTTAGCAAATTACAAGAGTAAATTTGTGTGGGGAAACAGAAAATGAAAGAATTTGGGCTAAAAAATTCTTTTCTGTGTTTCTGAAAGTTTTATATAGGCTACCTTCTTTTAATATCTCATCTGGCTATTTCTATTCATTCTCATGGTTTAAAATGAGGTGAAACTTCATGCTGTAGTCATTCATTCACTCATTTATTTATCTAATATCTACTAGGAACCAGGTCCTTTCCTATTACCAGGGATAAGACACCAGCTTTTTCCTCATGGAGCATGATTTCTGGACTGTACTTCCCTTTCCACGCTGGCTTCCCAGTGGGTTAGCACCCTGTATTTACCACTGCCACACTGTATTGTAATTACCTGTTTATCAGTCAGTCTCTTCACAAGGCTGCTGTGCTCCTTAAGGGCAGAGCCTCTTCCCTGTTTCCTGCTCTATGTCCAGCCCCTGGCATAGTCCCAATTACGGTTGCCCTGTAAATATGTATTGAGTGAATGATTGTTTACTAATATTTTGCTACCCCTTCAGTTTACTTTAGGGCTATGTTTATCTTGTTTGGGTAAAATAGTTGTATACATCTTATGGCCATAAGAAACTTCTGTTTGACTTTTATTTCACTTTGTCAGGCTGAAGTCCTACTATATCCTTCCACACACCCTATGCTAAGCTACTTATGGCTTTCCATATGGGCCCTGTTCCTTTGCTCAGATTTTTCCCTTGCACAGAACAACTTGATCTCTCTTTGCTCCTCTTCCTCAAGGCCTGTTTGACTGCCCCTTCCCTCATGCTGTCGTAGTGCACTGATCCAATCTCTTTAGATTTGTTTTTTTTTCAATATCAAGTAATAGCTATTTGTTCAGTCTGTCTCTTCCTTCATCGACTGTAAGCTCCTTCCTCTGAAGGAGGAGCAGTTCTCATTTTGGTATTCTCCATAACATCCAGGGCTGTGCTTGACACATAGCAGGAGGCCAATAAATGCTTATGAGATGAATGGATATATGAATACACTCTTCACAGTGAGTGGACTGTGTGTGACTAAGTTGAAAAAACTCATCACAGAGGAAGATGTGTACTTGGGATAAATAATATTGGCTAAAGGGAAGGGCAGGCCATATGGCAGGACATAGGAACAATATGTATGGGCCAGAGAGCACAATGTATTTATCTGGAAAGCAACAAAAGGATAAGGTTTACTAACAGGTAGGTTTAGAATCCAGAAGACTTTGAGCATGAGGCACAGGAACATGGCCTTGGGGACCCAGTGAAGGTAAGCCACCTTTTTGATTCTTGAATTGTATTTCCAATATCCAGATATTTGTGACACCAACTCAAGTTGTCTTTCATCTGTGTCTATGTTCTTGACTAATACATTCAATATGATGAATGTCACTGCCATAAAAGATTTTGGTGATAACTTTTGGCTGTGTGCAGTGGCTTATGCCTGTAATCTCAGCACTTTGGGAGGCTGAGGCAGGTGGATCACTTGAGGTCAGGAGTTCGAGACCAGCCTGGCCAACATGGTGAAATCCTGTCTCTACTAAAAATATAAAAACTAGCTGGGCATGGTGGAAGGCACCTGTAATTTCAGCTACTTGGGAGGCTGAGGCAGGAGAAGTGCTTGAACCCAGGAGGTGGAGGTTGCAGTGAGCTGAGATTGTGCCATTTCATTCCAGCCTGGGTGACAGAAGGAGACTCCATCTCAAAAAAAAAAAAAAAAAAAAATCCAAGGTAGCTCAAATAGTACAATAATAGAGTTAGGACTTCTGGGGCACTGAAACCAAACCTAGTGTTTTTTTCTCAACAACTCTCTTATCTTTCCAATCATGAAGGTAGTTGGGGATGACAAAGAATAGGTGATTAGAGAAGAGTAGGAGAAAATGGGGAGGTAAAATTATGATTTACTCATTCACTCAGTGACTATATAGTGAGCGCTCCTCCCCAGCCCTACCCTCATGTCAGTGAGTATCTCAGTCCTCAGGGATACCATACGCAGGCAATTGAAAGACAGTGAAGTAAAAGTCTTGGAAGTACTAAACAGGGTGCCTAGCCTAGTTGCGGAAAATCAGGAAGTGATATCAAATTGTGACTTAAGGAAGGTGAAGGTTCTAGTTAGGTGCTGCCTGCAAGAGACTCACCTCACTTTTAAGGACACACATGAACTGAAAGTGAAGGGATGAGAAAAGATATTCCACACCAATGGAAACCAAAAAAGAGTAGAGGTAGCTGTACTTACATTGGACAAAATAGACTAAGTCAAAACTGTAAAAAGAGACAAAGAAGAACTAATGTTCTTATATCTATAATGATAGAGGGGTTAATTCATGAAGAGGATATAATAATTGTAAATATATATACCCAACACAGAACACCTAAATATATAAAGTAAATATTGAAAGACCCAAAGGGAGAGATAGATTGCACTATAGCAATAGTAGGGAACTCACTTTCAAAGATGGACAGATTATCCAAACAGAAAATTAATAAAAAAAAAATTGGATTTGGAGTACACTGTAGGCCAAATGGACCTAAAAAACATGTACAGAACATTCCATCCCACAGCAACAGAATGTACATTCTTCTCAAGGGCACCCAAAACATTCTTCAGAGTAGGTCACATGTTAGGAAGAGAAATGTTTGGAAGAGACTGGCATCAATAACCCAGACAGCAGATGGAAAATAGCTGCTGGGAGTGGAAAAGAGTAGATGTGATGTTGGACTATACGTGGGAAAGGAAGGAAAAAAAGTTGATAATTTTGAAGAAATTACATGAATACCCTTGTTTTTAGTGATTAAAAGAACACTTTTTTTGTATTATTTACAATTATGTTTACAAAAATCTATATAATTAGTTCATTAGTGAGATTCTTACATATCTTAAGCTTTTTTTTTTTTTTAAAGAGATGGGGTCTCATTCTGTCACCGAGACTAGAGTATATTGGCACAATCACAGCTAACTGCAGCCATGATCTCCCAGGCTCAAGCAATCCTCCCACCTCAGTCTCCAGAGTAGCTGAGACTGCAGTCACATGCCACCATGACAGGCTAATTTTTTATGTTTTGTAGAGACAGGGGTCTCACTATGTTGCCCAGGCTGGACTTGAACACTTTTTAAGCAGTCCTCCCATCTTCGCCTCCCAAAGTGCTAGGATTACAGGCCTGAGCCACCGTGCCTACCCATGTTCTTCAATTTCATTTCTTATTAAAGTAATATAACTGAAAGCTCAAGTAGCATAGCTGAAATTATGCTTTAACTTTATTTTGGAAGTATTTTTTTAAATATAAAAATTACCTTTTTTGAATTAAGAAATTAGTATATATTCTACTACAGCTCTGAAAATCAGAATCTCAGATGAACATTGACTTTAAAAAAATGTATGAGGGGCTGCGCGGTGGCTCACGCCTGTAATCCCAGCACTTTGGGAGGCCGAGGCAGGCAGATCACGAGGTCAGGAGATCGAGACCATCCTGGCTAACACGGTGAAACCCCGTCTCTACTAAAAATATACAAAAAATTAGCTGGGCATGGTGGCGGGCGCCTGTAGTCCCAGCTACTCGGGAGGCTGAGGCAGGAGAATGGCGTGAACCTGGGAGGCCCAGCTTGCAGTGAGCGGAGATAGCGCCACTGCACTCCAGCCTGGGCGACAAAGCAAGACTCCTTCTCAAAAAAAAAAAAAAAAAAAAAAAAAGAAAGAAAAAAAAGTATGAGGATTTAACCTATTTATAGGCTACCAGAAGGCAAGATAAAAAGGTTTCTTCTGGAGTTCAGTTCAGGGAGTCTACTTTGTCAGAAAAATAGAGCCAAACATATTAATATCCAGAGACTTTTCTAAGTGAGGATGCATTTGAAAGAGAGGAATTCATCAGTTTAGTCCCACTGACAAGGCCGGGCGCGGTGGCTCACGCCTGTAATCCCAGCACTTTGGGAGGCTGAGGTGGGCGGATCGTGAGGTCAGGAGATCGAGACCATCCCGGCTAACAAGGTGAAACCCCGTCTCTACTAAAAATACAAAAAAAAAAAAAAAAGAAAAGAAAATAGCCGGGCGTGGTGGCGGGCACCTGTAGTCCCAGCTACTCGGGAGGCTGAGGCAGAATGGTGTGAACCCGGGAGGCGGAGTTTGCAGTGAGCTGAGATCGTGCCACTGTACTCCAGCCTGGGCGACAGAGCGAGACTCCGTCTCAAAAAAAAAAAAAAAAAAAAAAAGTCCTGCTGACAAGTAGGAATGGAAAAGTCAGTGACCTCTCAAACAAATCCATTTCTACACACTCTGATGACCATATGAACAGGTTAGCAGGGTCTCCATTCCCCCTTCTGGGGATGTGCGGAATGGAAATCAGTGGCAGAGCAATGGTCTTTCTTTGTTTTGAGATGGAGTCTCGCTCTTGTCACCCTGGCTGGAGTGCAAAGGTGCGATCTTGGCTCACCACAACCTCTGCCTCCTGGGTTCAAGTGATTCTCCTGCTTCAGCCTCCCAAGTAGCTAGGATTACAGGCACATGCCACCATGCCTGGCTAATTTTGTATTTTTGGTAGAGACGGGGTTTCACCATGTTGGCCAGGCTGGTCTCGAACTTCTGATCTCAGGTTATCTACCCACCTTGGCCTCCCAAAGCGCGAGGATTACAGGTGTGAGCCACTGCGCCTGGCACAAATGGTCTTTTCCATGAGGGAACGTAAATGTTCTCAGTATGATTATACATTGGAATAAAGTTTCTTTGGGAAGAATTACCAGGGTTATATTATAAGCTCAAAAGTGAAAAAGTCAACCCCCTAAGTAATATCTATATGTCATAGAATGGCTAAGTTCTAAGATCTATTTTCTTGCCTCGTTTATGGAAATTGAGCTTATTACATTATTTCACAATGCAAACAAATGAAGATTTTGCTTAATACACTCTGTGAGTGTATTTCAGAGCTGGAGAGTGAATGTAGACAAAAGCCCAAAAATGGCAGAATATTGACTGTCCAACCCCAGAGCATGATGTGGTGAGTGCCTTGCATTTTATGTTGTTGAATCAGAGCAGCTAAAATCTCCCCTCTAGGCTGGGAGAATCATATTCCATATATATGGAGGAAAGAATAGACTTGTGGACTCTCAATACCTATCTATCTGTCTGTCTGTCTGTCTGTATGTCTGTCTGTCTATCTATCATCTTTCTATCTATGTATGTATCTGTCCTGTAGAACAAAAAAACTTCAAGTTTTCTTCTCCAAAGTGTGCAGATTCAGAAGCAACTGCTCTGCTGCTCTGCTGCTGGGAAATTGCCCTGTGGTAATATTACCCCCTGGACTCTAAGGTCTGAGCCACAGAGCGGCACTGGAAACCACAGGAGTGACAATGAGCTTGCCTGCTTACCTGCTGTAAAAAGAAACAAATTAGACAATAATCTTCTCTTCTTCCTCCCTCCCTCTCTTTCTGTCACTTTTTATTCTGTCCCTTCCTTCCATTTTCCCCCTTCTTTCTCTTCTCTCCCTCTCGATCTTTCTCTCTTTCCCAATCTGTCTCTTCCCCTCCCATTCTCCCTTCCTCCAGTCACTTCTCCATGTACTACTGATAGAGATAAGACACAAATGGTCAGACAAAACAGGAGATATATATGTGTGTGTGTGTGTATATGTGTATATGTGTGTATATATGTAAATGTATGTGTGTGTATATATGTATATATGTGTATGTATGTGTGTGTGTATGTGTGTGTATATATATATATATATATGCTGCAGCAGTTTTGCAATGTATTTTTTATTCTCAGATTTGCAACTTAAATTCAAAGTAAATTCTTTAAGGCTAACTATTGGCCCATTCAAGGTCATAATCTCCCTGGCTGGCGATGATTTGTGTTAAAACCTTATTCTGTATAATATTAAACTTTACATAGAACTTTAACTTTTGAAACTGAAGAAAAAAATATGATTTTTTAAAACTTTATCACTTCAAAAGAGATTTGGGTTAGAAGATGGAAAATATATAGGACATTGACCAATTAGGTGAATTGGGGCTTTGAGGTTTTAGAAAAAGAACTCTTTATAAAACTTGGGAGCAAGGATACTGGGTATTATCCAAGAAGATTTCTTAATAGAAGTATGTTCTTCAAATGGTTATCTTGGTGTGCTTTAATTTATGGTCTCTGATGGTTAGGAAATCTCTAAGTAGAAAGAAAGAATTATGAACCTAGTATGAAGGTTATAATGGATCTTGACAAGGTGGCTTAAAAGGAGACATTACGGCATCTAGGGGATGAGAGTTAACCTTTTGTTCTTAGAATGTGTAATTTGCCTCAAAATCATCAAAGTTATCAGCAGATAGTATTTCTTAATGTCTCTTAAGAACCTGATATCTTAAGATCTATATACATAATCACACATAGTTTAGGTAAGTCACTTTACTTTGACACGTTGTTAATAATCTTTTCTCAAGATATCTTAAATAACTGGAAATATCAACCTTAGAAGAAAGAATTTCACAAATACCATTTTCCACACTGAGAGAAATACAAGTTATAAAATAAACTCAGAAACTTGCAAATCCCTAGTATTGGAATACGGAACTAAGGGTAAGTAGTTCAGGTTCACATTATGGAAAAGGAAGAAATAAAAAAGTGCAAAAGTAAAATGTCCACCAGAGACTACCTTAAGATGAAGAGAAAGATATTTGCCGAGAACTTTGTAAAGGTAAACAACCCTTGGGAGAAAACAATTATGATTATAAAAGTGATTATTCCCGTGCTTGACTTGGTTAATGTGGACTTACAAGAGTGTACTTTTCAGGCTGTACTTTTTCAGTTCTTTTGAGTACTTTTCAGTATTTTGAGGACTGAAAATGGGCCATGCTAGTAATTCCGTTACCTCAGCTCTAAAAGAACCCTCCCCAAAATCTTGAAGTACGAGGGTTTACAGATGAAACTGGAGTGTAAAAGTCAGCAAAAAGCCTTGTTAGAAATATGGACATCTTCTTCATTAAGACTTCATAAAGATATTCCTTGGCCCTAGGCAAAGCATAATATTTGCAATTGCTCCAGTGGGAGCAATATACTTATTTATCCATATTTTGTAAACCAAAAAGTATTTGAGACAGATCTCAGTCAGTTTGGAAGTTTATTTTGCCAAGGTTAAGGACATGCTGGTGACATAGCCCAAGGAGGTGCTGAAAGCATGTGCCCCAGGTGCTCAGGTTACAGCTTGGTTTTATATGTTTTAGAGAGACATGAGACATCAATCAATACATGTAAGATGTACATTGGTTTGGTCCAGAAAAGCAGGACACCTTGAAGGTGACAGGGTGTAGGGGTGGGGATGGGGATGGGCTTCCAGGTCATGGGTGGATTCTAAGATTTCTTGATTGGCAAGTGGTTGAAAGAGTTTATCTGAAGACCTGGAATCAATAGACGGGAGTGTCTGAGTTAAGAAGGAGGATTGTGGAGACCAAGGTTTTCATTATGCAGATGAAGCTTTCAGGTAGCAGGCTTCAGAGAGAATAGATTTTAAGTGTTTCTTATCAGAATTAAAAAGGTGCCAGACACTCAGTTAATTCTCTCCTGGAGCAGAAAAGATACCTGGAAAGGGAAGTGGATTGGGTACAGAATATAGATTTTCCCCCACGAGAGACAACTTTGCAAGGCCATTTCAGAATATATCAAAGAAATATATTTTGGGGTAAAATATTTTGATTTCTTTGAGGGCTAGCTATCTGTTATGTTGGTATCTTATTGTTATAGTAAGCTTGCTTTGTCACTCTTAAGGGCTCTGTTTTAATGTTAAACGCTGGTCAGCTGTGCCTGAATTCCAAAGGGAGGAGAGTATAATGAGGCATGTCCGACCCCACTTCCCATCATGGCCTGAACTAGTATTTCAGGTTAACTTAGGAATACCCTTGGCCAAGAGGAGGATCCATTCAATTGGCTAGGGAGTTTAGAATTTTACTTTTGGTTTATCATATACATATATACACATACGTATACATGTATATATGTGTGTATGAGAGAGAGAGCACACTGTAGACTTGTAGACTCACTGAGCATAACAAACCTGCCAGGGTATATTGTTTTCCTTATTTTATAGTTAAGAAAACTAGGAGAGGTAGAGTCACTTTTGGACTCACCACCTGGCTAAAAGTTGGTAAGAGTTTGTAAGCTTTAGGGCAATGGTCACATAGAGTGAGTGGAACGAGAGAACCCTGACTCCAAGCCGTGCCCAGCTCTGCCTTCCAGAGCAGTGTGAGTTTTCACTGATGGATTTTAGTGCAGTCTTTCCTTATCTCTGTTAGGGAAGACAGTGAATATATTACAGAACCATTTTCCAGCTAGGGAAGTGGTCACAGAGAGGTTATGAGTTTATATATGGTTAATTGCAGAGCCATGATTTGAATGAGATTGTGTTCTTCTGGAGCCTGTTAATCCAGATCCCGCACCCTTCCCTCAAACAGACTCCTCCAGAGAATGCAGGCATGTGGGGGATCAGAGCCTGAGGGTCAGGTTAGGAAGGGTTACTGACAAGGTGACCAGGCAATATGCAATGGTCTTTAGATGAGCATTTCATACTCATTTTGATCCTGTACACACACCCCCTCTTGAGGCTGCACTGTACGATAATTTATTATTATTGAGAGAGCTACAGGTAAAGAAAAAGGGACAAACATTTCACTTAATATAGTTAATCAGCTGCGGAAAATTTAGAATTTTGGAAGGATATATCTCAAAATTCTTAGCCTAGTGAAGGCATGGTTATCCATACTAATAAAAACCATAGCTCTCCTGCCTTTTTCCAAGCTCTTTGTCTCAAAGGACATATTACTCATATCTTTGTTTAGGCCTCACTATATCTTTCTGGCTCAACATCCCTTCGGAGGCTCTGAAAGTAGTCAGAAGGCAGAAGTGTTAAGATTTCTCCATGATGTCATTAATAAGGCAACACTGACCTCAGAACCTAATTCATCTTGAGCATCGTACATATCAAGCAGCACTTTCTCTTATTTCTGAGGAGAGAGAAAATGTATTTTCTGCTGGTAAGGAGAGAATGGAGTTGGGGGTAGAGGGTGAGAGGGCCAGTGTCTGGCATCTGGACAGCTGGATCACTGGGAGAAGTGTCGAATGACTCTTGCTCCTGCCAGACAGGCTTTCTCCAGTTGTTTCAGAGTCTTCAAAATGCTAATACAATACGTTTGCATTTTCATTTGTATTGGCTGAGGCTTGTGTTAAAGTGCTCCCAGCTGCTGTAACAGATAAAATTTGAAGTCTCCATGGCTTGACACAATGGAAGTTTCTCTTAAAGTCCAAGAGGTGGTACAGATATGGGTCACAGAAGGTGGGCTGGTAAGAAGGAGGAAATCTGGTCCACATGGTTATTCAGGAACCCAAGCTGAAGAAGCCTGTACCATTTTCAACATGTGACATCCAAGGTTACCGTGGGTGACAACATCTAGTCTGCCCATGCAGGAAGAAAGAGAAGGTGGAGAAGGCATACCTACTTCTTAACCAGCTGGTTTTGGAGGTGACAGGAATCACTGCCATTCATATACTCTAAATGAGAACTAGTCACATGAACTCACATGGGTGGCAGGGCACTTGCAAGTAGAGTCCTGGGTGGCAGTACCTCCCAGAAACAACTTTGTACTCTGGAAGGTGAGCACAGATAATTTGTGGAGAGTCAGACTGCTCTGCTATGGTATTCTTTAGTGCAAGCAATTAAAACTGATTCTGGTGAACTTTGGTAGTAAAATGAATTTATTAGGAGGATATTAGGTGGCTCTAAGAGCTAATAGGAACATTTCTGGGGTGAGGTTACAGAAACCACCTAAGGAACTTGTTAAGATGTGGCAGCCAAAATGAGGAAACACTTAAAAAAATCTTTTTGTATCCTTATTCAATATTCAAATTCCCAGGAGGAGTATTTGACTAATGTAACTTGGGTCACTTGCTTGTTCCACAGATTGTGTCCAGAGGTAACTCCTCCAAAAACAAACAAACAAACAAACAAAAAAACACGCATTTAGTAGCCAAAGAAAATGGGATGAATTTGAGGCAGCCAAAACAGCCAATGGTCACCCCCCCACTTTCATAGAAGATGCTAATTTTAAGGTAAGAAAGGAAAATAAAGCCAATTCCACATCATGAAGATCACCACTTACCAAGTATAATGGATATCAGAGTGGAAATGGTAGGTTTTTGAAAGTATGACAGATTTCTGAGGAGTCAGAGAATGTAGTTACTGCTTTTATAATCATCACCATGTATTCCTTTCCTTAATGCTGTTCTTCAGAGATTTTATATATTGTTATCATTTCTTAAACATACCATGAATAAAGTGCTGTCATGACATTGTCTTTGATGCCTTCATCTTTTGAGAAAGAAACACAAGAGACCACATCTTTAACCTCTGTGAAATGGAGGGAGTAGAGATCGTATATTCCATACGCTTTAAACAGATTGAGGGGACTAGTGCATTAAGGTTCTTTGAGTTGTGAGAATCAGAAACCCAACTTAAGCCAGCACAAACAAAATGGTAACCATGAAGTCCAGGAACTTCAGGTGTGGTTGGATCCAGGAATTCACATCACGTTATAAAGAATTGATTTTTTTTTTTTTCTTTGATCTCTTGGCTTTGCTTTTTTCCTTCCTCTCTTTTTGTCTTTTTTTCCTTCTCTCAGCTTCGATTTTATTCTTAGGTAGGCTTTTATTTGATAGTAATAAATATGGATTCAGCAGCTCAGAAGGAAAGAACCACAGGAGAGAGAACTTCTTTTTCGCTAGTGCCTAGAGCAATTTTGGAAAAAAAACTCTCATTGTCTTTACTTGGGTCACAGGCCACTCCTGTTTCTAGTAAAATGGGGTACTGCGTTAGGCTACTGTGTGTCACATGTGCAACTTTGTGGTAGGATACTGGGGGTTGTGTGGTTGACAGGTCCACCAGATGGGAGTAGCACCATTCCTGGGTGGAAAAAAATGGAGTGATGAAAAGTGTGATTTCACATAATCTTAACAAAAGAAACAAACAGGAACCACTTCAAGAGTAAATGACTTACAACAAACCTTTATTATTTCTCTTGATTGTGTAAGTCAGCAGGAGATTCTTCAGGTCTAGGCTCCTCTGCTGATCACTGCAGACACCTGGTGGCTGATCTGGGCTCGAATGGCCTGGGATGATCTTACTCACATATGTGGCAGTTGGCAGACTGCTTGGTCTGGGGGAGCCTCAGCTGGGCAGCACAGCTTTGCTTTTCATGGCTTCTCATCCTTCAGTAGGCTAGCCTTGATTTCCTCACATGGTGGCTTCAACGTTCCAAAGAACAGCAAGAGAGAGAGAGCAAGCCCCAATACACAAGCACTTTTAAAGTTTCTGCTTGTGTCACATGGCTAAAGCAAGTCTAGATTCAATGGATAGAGAAATAAGCTTTGCCTTGATGTGAAGAGTTGCAAAGTCACCTTGCAAAGGGGCTTGCCTACAGAGATGGGACGAATCTTGGCTATTTGTGCAATGTAACACAATCTAACAAAAGAAGCTCATTCTCTCTTCACCTCCTTCTCTCACTTGGCTTTGTCTTGACTATAAGTGAACTCACAGCTCCAGTGCCCACTGCCCACTACAACTTGATTATAGTCTATCTTTTAGTGAGTGAAAGAGAGAGAGAGAGAGATCGAGAGAGTGAGAGTGAGAGAGAGAGGGGCCTCCCCTAGATTATGGATTGCTTTTCCTAGTTTATGAATTGCTTCTATTGGTCAAGTTTGCTCAACTGATCCAGTCAGTTCTTGTTAGGGGCAGGTAGAGTCATGCTGTAAATAGGGCTATGCTTTTCATGGGACATGGATGGCATCAGTTAAATTAGAAAATTGAAAGAGGATATTGGGCATGGCAGACAAAGTGACTGATGACTGTCCTGAACATAGATGGGACAGGATCCAAAATCATTTCTTTTAAATCCTAATATTCTGTTGTGTACCTTTATGTAACTGTTAATATTATGTGAACACACCTCAGTGTAGTGCTTTCCGCCATGGCAGAAAAAAAATAAATCCCAGATAGATGATCAGCTTCTGATGGTTAGGAATTATGTTTCCTTTTCCTTTACATATGCCAAGGCATAGAGTAGGTGGTCATCAAATTCTTGCTGAATGTGCTTGAGTGGTGGAGGGTCTAAAGAGAAATCATGAAGTAGGCATAAGTTAAGCTTAGTGAATTTCAGCTTACTCATTGTGCTTGGTTATTTGATTCTCTGGAGAAGGCCAAATTCAACATAACAAAAAAGTTTATTGAGGTGATAACTTGTATTTAACTGAAATTCAAAATATTGTGTTCCTCGATTATTAAATTGAAGAAGGAAGAAGACATAAAGTATGACAATCTAGGAAGTTATATGGGGCTTACACAAGTCTTAGAAAGTAGAACAAACCCTGAGAATTGAAATTCAATTTTACTTAATTGTGAAGAGAAGATTTTTCAGGGTTTTAAGGTTGAAGTTCTGTTCTTTATTTGGCATCAGAAAAAGTTATATCATTGAAATTAGACATACACTAGGCCTTGGGTAAATGTCCCTTCATTCTTTTCTTTTCTTTTTTTTTTTTGAGATGGAGTCTTGCTCTGTCACCCAGGCTGGAGTGCAGTGGCCTGATCTCGGCTCACTGCAACCTCTGCCTCCCAGGTTCATGCCATTCTCCTGCCTCAGCCTCCCGAGTAGCTGGGACTACAGGCGCCCACCACCACACCCGGCTAATTTTTTGTATTTTTAGTAGAGACGGGGTTTCACCGTGTTAGCCAGGATGGTCTCGATCTCCTGACCTTGTGATCCGCTTGCCTCAGCCTCCCAAAGTGCTGGGATTACAGGCGTGAGCCACCGCACCCGGCTAATGTCCCTTCATTCTTAAGTGGCGCATAGATTGAGACAGAAGTCAGACACAGGAAAAAAAAAATCTCTTTCTTGACCAAGTATTTGGATAAGAAATGATGATATTCTGATCCAAATAATATAATGCCTTCAGGAAATTTTTCCTCCTTGTCATAATAGAAGTATTTAGAACAATTCTTCTCTTGTTTTTTCCAAATTGGATAACGGAATTGGGATATTTCATTTCTCAATTATCCATGGTAATGGGAAAAGGAAAATATGTGGGGATAAAAGCATGAGAGAATATAGATAATTGGTATCAATGAGTAATTTCTAAGCCTCATTACTTTGTTTCACCCGTTCATTTTAGTCTCCATCCTTATCCCACCTGGTTTTTACTAGAGATGCAACAAACAACTCATGAACATGGTTTCAATTTTGAGCCTTTTATTTCAAAGTGATGTGGGCTTTAAAAGGTGCAAAGACACCCAAAAGCAACTTACCAGGAAGAAGGACAAATAAGGACATTAACATTTTACATGATCTGAGAGTTGCCTCTGTTAGGTGTGAACTAGCTTATCAGGAAAGGGTCAGTCATGGTAATTGTATTATCACCATCTCAGCCTTGGAGGACTGATAAAATGGGCACCAAATCCTCTGGAGAGGGATTTATAGGAGCTGGAGAAGAGCAATGACAAGAAAGGTTTCTGTATAAAATGTGATAAGCACCAGCAGAACAAATTGGATTCCTAAAACATCACGCTGAGGTCAAGAAAGGACAATTAAATCAAGACTATAATAACGGCAACATGATCTCCACTTACAGAGTGACTACCTGACGGTATTAGAGGCCCAACTAGAGGCCCTGCCCCACCCATTACCATGGTTAAGCCTCCCGGAAGCTCTATGGCATAGATATCACTACCCACACTTTGCAGTGAATTCTAGTCCTGAGAAGGGCTTGCTTCCTCCCTATTGGAGAGAAATATTAGTCCTAATTTCTGGATTCTATGAGCCTTAAGTCCAGTCTTTGTTTACATCCAACAGTAACAGCAGGGGATGGCAGGCATGAACCCTGTCAGAAGGAATGTGACCAGCAGACAGTGGGGATCTCTGTGAGACCAGAAGTTGCAGGAGAAAAAGGAAAATAGCCTGTAACGGAAGCCTTTGACGTCATTGGGAAAATGTGGTCCTAACTTAAAAGTGAGATTACTTTGCTCTGTCATTACTTTGCCGAATCAAACCCTTTGAGAAGTTAAGCCATGTTATTCTTTTTATTGCAACTTGTCTTTAGGTTGCTCTGTAAATGACCATATTAAGATGAACTGCATTTTGATAATTCTGAAAGTAGCTTGCCAACAGCTTGGCATTCAAGACCTTCCCTTCAGCAACAGATCAAACATTTACAAAGCACATATTGTGTGGCTAACAGCATCCCCGACCCTGTAATATATAAAGAAAGAAATACAAGACCTTGTTCATTTTATTGAAGTTAGATTTTTGCTAGAAAACAATAAAATATCTAATAAAACACTGACTTATGTGACATATATAGAATAAATGTTCTGAGGACAAAATAATGTGTGACATCAGGGAGGCTTTAGAGAAAGTTAGAGTTTGGGTTGGGCCTTAAAAGGTAAACAGAGAATATATAGGTAGAAAGGAGAGAAGGGAAGACCAAGAAAGAGACTATGGGGCCTAGAGGTTCCTCTTGCCTGGTGGGACCAGGGTACTTTTCTTTATTACATGCTGACTTGATTCAAGGATCATGTAGGTCTGCAATGGCAAAAGGCAAACATGTTTCTTAGTACATTGTTTCAAGCAGCCACTCCCCATCTCTTAGCATCAGAATTGAAATCTATTTGCTATTCTAATTGTTGAGTTTTTGGATACTTCCCCCTAGTTGTAGAGATTTATATGTGGGAAATAGAGAAGTAAAAGAAGAAAATTCCTCTCTCTTTGGAAAATATCTGTCTCACTGATCCTTAGATCTCTCCACTCCCATTAAGGAAAAGCAATGAGAACTATACCCAGATTTAAATAAACACCCGTGTTGTGCAAAGTAACACATACCTTTTAAGTTATTATTTTTTTTTTTTTTGAGACGGAGTCTCGCTCTTTCGCCCAGGCCAGACTGTAGTGGCGCCATCTCAGCTCACTGCAAGCTCCGCCTTCCAGGTTCACACCATTCTCCTGCCTCAGCCTCCCGAGTAGCTGGGACTACATGTGCCCACCACCTCGCCCGGCTAATTTTTTGTATTTTTAGTAGAGACAGGGTTTCACCGTGTCAGCCAGGATGGTCTCGATCTCCTGACCTCATGATCCACCTGCCCCGGCCTCCCAAAATGCTGGGATTACAGGCATGAGCCACCGCGCCTGGTCTAAGTTAATTCTAAAGCAACTTAAAAATTAAAATCTGCATTGTTGGTGGGCCAGTGGGGGCCCCATTCTCTTCACTTTCCACAGGTGGGACTACATGTTCAACACCAACTGGCTTGCAAAATCTATGGACCACGGATTTGGCTGAAGTTGTTGTGTGTGATAAATCATTCCTGACACATTTATGTAAATTTATGGAGGATATTGCAGCACAGTCAAAGCACTGGATTTTTCCATCCTTTACTGTTGGTTCGCTGACCTAACTCTGTAAAGCCTTTTTCTCTTGCCCACAATCCCCAGATCACTGAAGCAAAATATTTAAAGAATGTTTACAAAATACTTTTAGCTCCTAATAGCTGCTGAGTTTTAGGAGGAATTTGACATGATATGAGCCTGTCAACTAAGGTTTGCTGGTAGATGGCTTGAATTATTAGACACATCCAACTAATATTTAGGCCAGAATCTCAATGAATAAGTTGATTTTACTTGTTATACTTACATTATAACCACCTAAGTGTATGATTGAATAATATGAATTATAATATAAATTATTATACTAGAAATTAATAATGTGTAATAATCATCTCTCTTGGAGAACACAAGGTAGAAAAAAAGCATTAGAACAATTTATAAATACTACAGAGCAATTTCCAGAGTCAGCCAGGGTCTAAACCCAAACCAAATATTATTATTACTCTAAAGTTCTTTAAAAGAAAATATAAAAAGACAAGATAATTTCAGTTGGTAAATTATGGATGTTAAGCTATACTTAACCTTTGGCTGTTACAAGTTTCTGTCATCAGATACATAGCTCTTGAATGAAATGGTTGGTGCTTTTAGTCGATCTGATAACCCCAGTGAAAGGGCTTGTTCGATGATGTCCTGTGTCTCTCAGACCTATGCTGCTGAGGGCTGTGAGTGCTTTGAGAACAGGTGCTGTGCTTTCCTCGTCTTTGAATCCCCTGCAGCACCTGGCATAGTGCCTGGCACCATGAAATATTCATGGAATTAAATGGGTTTTAAATACTGTTTTCTGCCACAAAGTCTCCCTTACATTTAATCATGTGTCATGTCATGAATTTGCAAGGAATGTAATGGAATACAGTGGTATGAATGTAGGTTTAACCAGCTCAAAGTAATATAAGGAACCTAGGGAGTTGAGAATATTGGTTTCAGATAACAATTTACACCAAGATCTTGAAGGAAACCTGATTTATTTTAGAAAACTTTAATTACTTCCTTTTGCTACAAAGATTCCAATCATCATTAAGCCAGATCAGTATGGCAAACATGATTGAAGGTATAGGATTTACCAGGTTTTACAGATATTAATTAAGGTTTGGATTCAAATCTTGATTCGACTTCTGCCGTCAATAATGTATAGTAGCTCTGAAAGATTTGTGAATTTTTAGAAGATGTAAATGATTAGTGGTTCAGACTGAGAGTTTAACTGAAGTTCTGTTAGTTTGTAAATGATTAAAAATTGCAATAGAAAGTCCATTAAAAATATAAATTTGGAGTGCTGGTGAACAAATGTTTTGCCATAATGTGATGTGAAATACTTAATGTTTCTACTCTCTCTTTCTTCTATGAAAATTAACTCCTAGTCATTAATAATTATTGAGCATTATGTACTTGGAATTTAGATTCATGAAATAGAATGGTGAAAAAAGTCTGACTCTCATAAAGCTTTCATTTTGGTGGGATAAAGACAGACTATTAAAAAATAAACAGATAATTTCAGATAGTGATTTGAAAATAATAAACCAGGTAATATGATAGAGTGAACTGGTATTCAGGGGATCCTTACAGCTGGTGTGGTTAGGGTAGGTCTTCTCTCTAAGAAGGTAACATTTGAGACAAGTTTTTATTGCCAGTAGTCATGTAAATATTTTGAGGAAGAGAATCCTTGGTAGAGAGAACAGCAAGTAGAAAATGCTTTCCATGAGTTCAAGGAACAAACAGGTTAGTAAGTCTGGAGTGTAATGAGTTGGGGGTGGGAGGAGTCTGGGACTAATTTTATTTTTCTACCTTGTATTCTCCAAGAGATGAGCATGAGACATTGATCTCAGAGAGTGGGAAATTACTACATGAATAACTAAGTGAGTGCTTATTTAAAATTTGTCCTCATGACCTTTACAATAGATCAGAAAATAGGGTTGTGTTATTTTCTTCAGTAAGGTGTTCTCGTTGCAGATGTGGAACTGATAGTTGAGTTTAATTAACTGTATTTTCTAGAAGAGTATGATGGTGGAAATGAGGGGCAAGAGAGCTAAAAGTATTTAAGTGATGATTTTAATGATGAACCACAGAATCTAGGATGCGCTAGGAGAATAAGTGTTTGGACCACCTGCTCTTCACCCCATTGGTGAAGGAGGGATTCCTGCCCTAGGGTTATGGGAATGACTGCACGTGTGATACCCAATACTGGACAGATGAGATTAACAGTTGTTTATTAATCACATATCCTTACAGCCTGAGGGAGGAGGGCACCGGATGCCATGCTGGGGCACAGAGCTTGCACTTGGGAATAGAGTGAGCAACGTGGGATTGTAAGAGGCAGACTTTGTTTTCTAAAGGGTAGCAACATCCCCTGGTTCCCCTGGAGGATGTGATTGACTTATTTGAATACTTCTGTGGGCACACAGGGAACTAAAACTTGCTGCTCAGGGGTAAGCAGGAGCTGTTTCTGGTCCCTACGATAAGAAGAGTTGTTTGGCTAGAAGGTTTTATCTGTGGGAGTGGAGAAGGGAGGGAAGCTTGCAGCTAGGTCATTCAGGACCCTTCAGATTGTTCCTAGATGTTAAGACAGCACATAATATTAAGCCTGAATTTTAGCTCATATATAGCTGGGACAATTAGGAGTCGGGACAATGGATGGTAGCAAAGGGGTAATGGATTGGAGAGCTCCATGTGTTTGAAGAATTACTGGAATGAGACAAATACTGACAAATGACCAAAAATGGACAAATGGGAGATTTGGAAATGGTTGTCAGAGTGGGATGCTTGAAACTGTAATCTGAGTGGGGTTGCAATAGTTTGAGAAAAAATGAAGGCCATGACCTTGGCAGTTGAGTGGCTAAAGTGGAATTGGCTGGTGGTAGAAGATGGCAGGGGTGGATAACTTGGAGACTGAATTCTTGTGATGACAGAGCTGAGCTGTGAGGCATAATGAGCTTTGTCTGAAAATTGTTTGGACATAGATAAGCAATCAGGCTGTAGTCCTGAGTACTCATTAAGTAGGTGGGAGGCCACTGGGTGACTGTTTTCTTCTTGGGGAGGGATGATCTGAAGACAAACAGTGCAAGGGACTGTCTGTAAGATGGAGGTCTGATCCCAGCAGCAGCACTCTGGGCCCCAGATCACTTCTGGGAGCTACACTGCCTAACATAGTCCCTGCCATTAGATGGTAGGTGCTCAATTAATGTTTATCAAAATGATTTAAATTGAATGTGTTGATTAAATAGAACACTGCCAATGGTGGCAATTTACAGAACACCATCCTTAGGAGTTTCTAAATTTATCAAGGAACTGATTGTTTCCTCTCTGCTTTATCAGCTCACAGGTTTCCCTTGGGTACCAGGCCCAACTTAATTCAATGATTTAACACACATTTAATTTGTGTCTACTATTTGCCAGACAGTATACTAGGTACTGAGGATGTAATGGAGAACAAGACAGAAGCCCCACATGAGGTCTTTTTTGTAGTCTCTATATTTGGAAATTTGGAAAAATGTATTTGAAAATAGGTAATTACAATACAATGTGATGAGTGCTATGATCGGACAAGCATGGATACTAAGGAGGGAATTTAACCTAGACTTAGGATACGGGAAGTCTTCATGGAAGGGGTAATAATTAAACCAGGATCTGAGAGATGAATAGAATTAGACTGCAGGAGTTAAGTGGATAGGTCAGGATTAGGCAAGTGTGTGTTCCAGGATAAGGAAATAGCATATCCTGATCCTCTTGTGCACGTTCTCTGCCTCTCATCCTTAAAAATTCTTGTATCTTTGCTCCTTATATAATTAAAAGCATGTATTGCATTAATTCACATAATGCTTTTACAACTTGGTTCTGCTGTTTAATGTATGTCCTATAAATTTACAAATGATTGGGGTCTATCCGATCTAGTTCTTCAGAGCAGTGTGAAATTAGGTTATTACTAAATAATGAGGGAGATAACTTTGTATTACATTAGAAACGAGTATATGCATCTAAATAATAGCAGCAGTAACAGGAAATAGAAGCATTTTACACATGAGAAGTAGATGTTTAAAAAGAAAATAGACTCACATTCATAGATCTTGCTCTAACCTGGAGTTGGTGTGGGCTCTCATTTTCTGCATTTTTAAAAGATGAAAACAAAATTAAGGTCTTGAAAAAGCGCCAGTTTCTACCCAATGTGAAAAACACTAGCAAGAAAATGGAGACTCAGTCACACAAGCATGGAAGCTGCTCTTTCCCTAGGTGGGCCTCCAGATGAGGATGCAGCCAGCTTACACTCTGATTTCACCCTTTGATTTCAACCTTGAGCAGAGAATCCAGTTAGGATACGCTGGATTCCTGACCACTGACACTGTGAGATAATAAATCTGTGTTGTTTTAAGCTGCTAAGTTTGTGGTAATTAGTTATGCAGCAATAGAAAACTAATACTGAATGACAATGACATTTTTTCCCTAGGGTTGTTTTGAGGCACACATGACACAATCACGTCAAGTATTTAGCACGGTGCCTGGCACGTAATAAACGCAGTAAGTGCTGGTTACTCACAGTATTAATTTGATTTCAGGAAAGTCATTTAATCTAGCTTATTTCATCCCTGATAGACTTTGCTTATTTCATCCCTGATATGACAATGTTAAACTAGAGCTAAATTTTTATCAACTCTAAAACTTGTTTCTAAGTGTCCAGGGATTTCTAAAAAGCCAAATCACTGTTAGGACCTGGGCTTTCAAGAAGGAAATTGTGTGATGTTTCAGAAACAGGAACCACTAATATCAACATCACTGGTTTCATGGACCCTACAATATGCCTTACAACATTTAGGACTTTGATCACTCAGATGTACCTTGCAGGCAATTTTAGTATTTTTTCCTTTGGTAATTGTTTTTGGGAAAGAATAAAATTCAGAATATCTTATGTCTATAGGACACTATGCAGTATGCATTTAATAGTGACTCGACCTGTCTTTCAGAAAATAGGGCCTTTTTTTTTCTTCTTTTTTTTTTTTTTAAGATGGAGTTTTCTCTGTCACCCAGGCTGGAGTGCAGTGGGGCGATCTAGGCTCACTGCAAGCTCCGCCTTCCGGGTTCACGCCATTCTCCTGCCTCAGGCACCTGCCACAATGCCTGGCTAATTTTTTGTATTTTTTAGTAGAGACGGGGTTTCACCGTGTTGGCCAGGATGGTCTTGATCTCCTGACCTTGTGATCTGCCTGCCTCGGCCTCCCAGAGTGCTGGGATTACAGGCGTGAGCCACCGCGCCTGGCCTAGGGCCATTTTTAAAAGGTGAATTCAAAAGGTTGACTTTTATTAGCCAATTAATTTTGAACACAGAACATCCCAAATAAAAAAGCTTATGGTATATTTTGAAACCCTTTAAAGCCATCAGTTTACCAAAATAAACCACCTGGTCTGAGGTTGAAAGTAAGATATGCAATTTCAACAGTTGAAAGTAAAATTTAGACAGTGTATCAAGTAGGTGCTAATATATCTTTATAAGGGTTCATAACTTCCAAATTAGGTTTCTAGGAAGGGCTCAGATTGGATCTCATTAATCATGCTCCTCTTTTAGGATGAGATATTAGAAGTTAGTGAATTCTCACAGCTGTTTAAAAGCAGAGTTCCTGGGTTTCATAGCATTTGTTAACAATGTGCAAAGATCAGCTATAAAACCTAATGTGTTGGGCTGCTTTAGGTAGGACATCCTGGCCACAACGAAATGTTTTTTACCATGTGCTCATTGCAGAGCCCACAGGCAGCATGCAGAAAGAGCAACAATAAACCTTCTAGCAACATGTAGTGGATAATTCTGTACCTTTTATGCTTGCAGCCTGGGAGGAATGGCTTCTTTCATTTCCTTGGTGGAGACTGTGTAACCTTTGATAACTGGAGAAAGAAACTAACAAAAGAAGCATTGTTAAGAACCTAGAGAGATTTTTCTCTCTTTTTTTGAGATAATTTCTTGCTCTGTCATCCAGGCTAGAGTGCAGTGGCACGATCATGGCTCACTGAAGCCTTGACCTCCTGGGCTCAAGTGATCCTGCCATCTGAGCAGCTGGACCCACAGGCTTGTGCCACCATACCTGGCTAATTTTGTTTATTTTTTGTAGAGATGAGGTCTCTGTACGTTGCCCAGACTGGTCTTGAACTCCTGGATTCAAGTGATCCTCCTGCCTCAGCCTCCCAAAATGCTGGGATTACAGGTGTGAGCCACTGGGCCTGGTCATGATTCTTTGTTAAAATTTTTTTAATAGGTGTATACACTTCAGCAGACACCCCTTGCCCATTTGCCTGTCACTAATTTAGATTTACTTATAACGTTTTATTATTAGGTATATGTATCTGTAGTCATGTTTATCTTAGTCTTCAAAGGTTACAACTTGTTAAGCATTTACCTATGCATTTCTGTGGCATCCCATTGGCCAGTAACATCTGAGAAAGAATTGGCAAAGGGAGGTGGGCTCCTCAGTAAGTAACCCTTGAGTAGGGAAGGCCTACTGTGTTTCTTGTTCTAGTACCTGAACCTTTTCCTTTGAATTGACCCCCTCCACAGCAACTCTGATTTCTAGTGGTAGGTAGGCTCAATTACCGCTCTTGTTTGCTGCTGTGTTGCTTGAAGTTTATTTCTTTAAATAATTAGGTGGAATTTTCTTTCTGACTCCACTTTTATTCAGCATGCTCACTCTTAACATACCACCCAGCACAACATATTTAACCTTTTGTTGCTCATAACGTAAAACTATGAAATCTGCATATGGAGACCACCCTGGGTTTTAAAATTAAGTGGTCTTTCTGGCAGGTGGTCTTTGCTTTAACAGTACTCTCTATAGTTTATGCTTCCAACACGCATAGAATGATTCTTTGGGGCCTCATACCTATAATTATGCCAGAGTCAATATAGTTGGCTCTGAACATCCCCCAAATTAGCTCAAGGATTTTCTGGAGTGATCTTGTATGGAGTGGGGTCCCCACAGTTGAACCCAGGAAACCCGTAGCAAGGTTGGCCATAGATCAATAGAACCACTGTTGGGCATCACTTCAGTTTGTGGAACAGCTGGAAGCCTGTTGTCTTAGTACCCAGGAGTCTAACAACTCAGAAGGAACACTTAAAACTTCATGTGGGGTGGTTTTAAGAAAATCATTGCTTATGGAGACAGGCATATGTGAAGCTAGAGCTGGCTAGGCTCTACATTTTTTTCTTAAAAGTTTTTTTTTTTTTTTTTTTTTTTTTAATAGCCTAACGCACTGGGTAAAGGGCCTGCATTCATGTTAGGCAGCTGGTCTCTTAAGGCAGGTTCAAAATACATTTCTCTGATGGGAAGTAAATGACATTCTCAGCACCCTTAGCTATTTTGGAAGGTGGTCTTTGGATATAGGTGGTCTCCTTGGCAACTTTATTGTACACATTTAATGTATATATTTGATTAATGCTACTTTATTTGCTTATGTGTGCTGCATCTATCTACAAACTTCTAATGAATTAGCTCGCTTTTCTATAGATGGAGTAAAACTATCTTTCACTAGGGTGTTTAATAGGTGTTTTAAATTCTAAAATATACTGGCTATGTTTTCAACTACAAGCATTCAAATAACTAATGCTTGTAGTTGGTGCTGGAGAAGGGTTTCCTGGGCAGATGACTGGTTTGGGAAAGTCAGGTACCCAGCTAGAGCATAGGGGTGAGAAATTTCGTAGTCTATCTGGAAGATTAGGGGCCATCCCATAGGAGAACGCAGGCACAGGGTCTGAAGTCAGATGGAGGAATAAGGTAATTCAAGGCTCTTTTGATCAGACTATCATAGTGTGGACCAAATTCTGAAGCAAAGTCTTGTTTAACTAGGGTCCAGGGCATGGTCTAGTCCGATGGTATAAGATGACCTTGGCATTCAAATAACTAATAAGCAGCTACATTAGGTATAGGAAGAATATGGGAATAATGGGTCTGTTCTTGGAATGTTTCTGCCATCTTTCCCATTCTGTTTCACCTTCAATTGAGCAAGACCACCTTACTTTTAACCTTCACTGAATTTATCCATTTTCTTTAAATATTAACATTAGAAGAAACTTTGGTTTTATTGGGGGTGGACTGACCAACTGTGCTATGGCATCTAAACTGTGAATGACTGTGCCTGACATTTGATGTAGAGAACAGCCTAGAGGTTCTGATGCCCAGTCTCAGCCCTGAAAATATTGATCTTCTCCCATAGTCACCTGGATGCTCCACAGTTTCCACAAACTCAGAATGTCCAAACCTAAGTGCATTGCATTTTACTCCTCCTGAGTTCCGTATCTTAGAAGTATTTCCTCCTCCTGAATTCCGTATCTTAGAAAACAGAAGCACTGTCCCCTTAAGAATTTAGGAGTTGTTGATGACCCTGCTTTTCCTTATACCTCATTTCCTTCAGCCAATCAAGTGCTAAAGTCAATTGCTTCTACCTTCCTCCAGTCCCTATTCTCAATTTATTGCCCTTGTTTGGCACTTGTTATCTTCTTGTCTCCAAACTGGATTGTTTCAATATCCTTCCGTCTCTAGGTTTGATTTTTCCAATCTATTCTCAAAGAGATGCTAGAAGGATCTTTATAAAACCTGGATCTGATTATGTCTCTCCCTTGCTTAAAACTTTTCAATGACTACTCAGTGTTCTTAAGATGAAAACCCAAACCCTTATCATAGACTACTCTGCAATTTGACCCCAATTTACCTCTCCAGTCTCATCCCTTTCTGTATTTCTTTTTGTGTACTGTGATGTAGTTGCACTAGACTGTTTGTAATTAATTGAATAAATTGAATACTATTTCATGCATCCTGCCTTTTTATGCTCCCCATTAGCCTTCCTCTTTTTTTTTTTTTACCTAGAGAACATCTTGCTTCCCTGGTGAACACCTACACAACTTTCCATGTTTAGTTCAAGGGTCTCCTTCTTTGTGAAGCTGAAAATTCCTGAAACATTTCCTCACCTTCCTCATCCATCATCTGGTAGAATCACTATTCCCTCCTTTGTATTTCACCGCATCAGCTGTCATAGATGCGACGTCATTACTGCTATTCATGTATGTCACTCTATCCCTTTACTAGTCTTTATATTTCTTAAGGGCAAGGATTGCTTCTTATTCATCTTGCGTACTGCCTGGCACTTAGTAGTGATCAAAGAAATTTGTTGAAAAAAAGTGAATAGATTGTGGCATGCCCACTGCAGTCAGGTATAAAGTTGATTTGATAACAACTCCTGGGTTAAGATTCTTTCTGCATTTTTATAGTGCTTTCCTTTATATTACCAATATTTTTATATCAAAATGAAAAAAAATGGACCGTCCCCCCCCCCCCCACCGCCTAAGAAAAAACTTTCAGTTTGGTACAAATTTAATGACATCAGAATTTTTTTTTTTTAAAGTTCAAATTTAGGGCCTTAACCAAATACTAGATGTCTTACCACATCCATTTGGAATTTTTATTTGAACCTGGAATGTGTTGGTGCTAAATTATGCTGTGGTTCTGGATATGGTCTTTATTTTCCATTAAGCACATATACTATATACTGAGATTGAATGTTGTGATAACTTTTTTTTCCAAGTGCATATTAACTTCATTTATTCTTTTGTTATTAAGGTATGCAATGAGAAGATGAAGATTGAGGTCCACACTAACGTTTTGTAAAAAAATAGATACAGAAATAAATACAATTGAATAATGTATGCATGTTGAGTAAAATGCCTTAAAGCTTTGTCTCTTCATATAGTTTGCCTTGGATATCAGGATTTTATTTGGTTCACGTGATTCTCCTGACTCAGCCCCCCCAAGTAGCTGGGATTACAGTTGCCCGCCACCATGCCTGGCTAATTTTTGTATTTTCAGTAGAGATGGGGTTTCACCATATTGGTCAGGCTGGTCTCAAACTCCTGACTTCAGGTGATCCACCCCTGCCCTCCTCGGCCTCCTAAAGTACTGAAATTACAGGGGTGAGCCACTGCACCTGGCCTAAAGCATTTTTTAAACTAAGCTGCTTCCCCCCATAGTGAGTGCAGCCCTCTCAAAATACCATGAAACTGAGAAATGTAGACCTATTTATTATGAATACCAGGAATTATCAGCAAAGACTCCACCTGCATAATTCAAGCAAAGGAAAGAACATTTAAAATTTAGAACTCATTTCATCTCCCAGAGTATAAAGTAATCAGTTATCTTGGGCTTTAGGATTTGTTCATAAAACTATTATTTCAATTGAAATGAAGTTGAACAAAAATAGTAGCCTATCATTATAATTATATAAATTGTAGCCATTACAGTAAACAGTTCTCATACATTTAATTTGTTTGCATCCCAGAAATTAAATCCTTTCAGCTCTTGAATTCATAGGAAGTTTATTTTTGTTCAAAATGGGTTTGAAAAGATTTTCCACCAGACATCCTTTTTTTTTTCCTGATTTAGATGATGTTTCTTCTGTGTTTCCCCCTACACTAAAGATCATTATTTTTTGTCCTTTGTCTGCATCTTGAGAAGGCTTATACATTGCTGTCTAATGAGGAAATAGCCACAGGGATGGTGATGGCGGTCACACCCTTTTGCCACTGTGGGCTTTCTTCACTCACTGACCAAGTATTTGGGCTGTGTCTGTAGCACACGTGTTCTGATGGCCTCATTTGGGATAACATTTAAATAAGGTTTGCTATAGCAATGCCCAATTGCACGTGCTCATAATTATTCTGAATAACATTTTCCGTTTTAAACCCTCATTTTATGGGGTTTACTACGTGGCCCATAAAATCTCCTTCCAAACTCAGCCTTGGCGTAGTTTTTAGCATAAGCAAATTTACCATAGCAATAAATCAAGAGCTCAATTGTCAAACCCACAGGATGAAGAGCAAGCTCATGTTAATCGACAGGGAAAAGCCCCTGTAAGTTTCTGTAAGGATGGCAGCATAGTTGCTGTTGCCAATTTTGCACACATGCTGCACACAACATCAATGACGGATCCGGATTTGGGATGTCTGAAGATGGGATTTGGAAAATGAACACATAAGTGATATCCTTAGGGGAGTAAAAGTGGTTAAAGGCTTCTCAGAGAAAAGAATAAGAACGGCACAAATTTAGGGGAGTGTCTCTCCTATGAATTTGGTGAGGATAGGAGGTTCTCTGAAAAAAAAAAAAATATCTTACATAGGACTAGGTTTTTGTGTGATAAAACCTGTTAGGAGTAGCAGCACCTATTTCCCAGCTCTCCCATCCACTTCTCTGGAGGACATTGGCCAACATCCGCTAAAATAAATAAACATTCCAATTATTTCCAGTTATTTATTTGACAGTGCCATCCATGGATCCATGGGAGGGAGTATTTTGCACTGCAGTGGTTCTCAAAGTGTGGTCCCTGAGCATTTTTTTAAACTAAGCTTCTTCCCTCCATAATGAGTGCAGCCCTTTCAAAATACCACGAAATAGCATTTGTGTTACCTGGGAACGCATAAGAAATGTGAATTCTTGGGATCCTCTCCAGACCTACTGAATCGGGAATTGTGAGGCGAGGCCCAGAAATCTTCATTTTTATCAGTGATGCTGATGCCTATCAAAGCTTCCTTTTAACTTTTAATTTTTATATTTTTTCTTTTGTTTTTAATTGATACATAATTGTACATATTTATGGAATACAGTGTGATATTTTCATACATGTATATACATTGTGTAATGATCAAATCGTGGTATTTAGCATATCTATCACCTCAAACATTGATCTTTTCTTTGTAGTGAGAACATTCAGAATCCTCTCTTCTAGTTATTTTGAAGCATCCTCTGTAATATTTACTACAGTCACCCTGCTATGCTATAGACACCAGAGTTTATTCCTCCTATCTAACTGTAATTTTGTACCTGTTGACCAATCTTTCTCCATCATCCCCTTCACCCCACCCTCCACAGACTCCGGTAACCACTATCCTACTCTCTACTTCTACAAGACCAGCTTTTTAAGAATCCACAAATGAGTTCAATCATGGGGCATTTGTCTTTCTGTGCCTGGCTTATTTCACTTAACATAATGAACTCCAGGTTCATCCATGCTGCAAATGATGGGATTTCATTCTCTTATGGCTGAGTAGTAGTCCATTGTGCATGTTACATTTTCTTTATCCATTTTTCTGTTGATAGACATTTAAGTTGATTCCATATCTTGGCTATTGTGACTAGTGCTGCAATAAACGGGGTGTTTGGGGGTGGGGTGCAGATATTTTTTTTTGACATATTGATTTCATTTCCTGTGGATAAATACCCAGTAGTGGGATTGTTGGATCAGATGATAGTTCTATTTTAATTTTTTGAGGAATCTCCATGCTGTTTTTTTTTTTTTTTTTTAAATTTGAGACGGCATCTTGCTCTGTTGCCCAGGCTGGAATACAGTGGTGCAATCTTGGCTCACTGCAACCTCCGCCTCCCGGGTTCAAGCGATTCTCCTGCCTCAGCCTCCCAACTAGCTGAGTCTTCAGGTGCATGCCACCATGCCTGGCTAATTTTTTTGTATTTTTAGTAGAGACAGGGTTTAACTGTGTTAGCCAGGATGGTCTCGATCTCCTGACTTCATGATCTGCCTGCCTCGACCTCCCAAAGTGCTGGGATTACAAGTGTGAGCCACTGTGCCCGGCCTCCATGCTGTTTTTTTTTTTTTTATAGTAGCTATACCCATTTACATTCTCACCAACAGTGTATAAGCTTTCCCTTTTCTCCACATCCATACCAGTATTTGTCATTTTTTGTCTTTTTGATAACAGTCATTCTAGTTGGGATGAGGTAATATCTCATTGTGGTTTTGATTTGCATTTCCCTGATGATTAGTAATGTTGAACTTTTTTTCATTTACCTGTTGGCCATTTGTATGTCTTTTTTTCAGAAACATCTATTCTTATTCTTTGCTCATTTTCAAAGTCAGATTATTTGCTTTTTTGCTATTTCATTGTTTTGTCTGAATTCCTTACATTATCAGGATACTGGCTTCTTGTCAGATGCAGTTTGTGAATATTTCCTCCCATTCTGTAGGTTGTCTCTTCACTTTGTTGATTATTTCCTTTGTTGTGCAGAAACTTTTTAGTTTGATGGCATTCCCTTTGTCTATTTTTGCCTTTGTTGCTTGTGATTTTGGGTTCTTATCCAAAGAGTTCCTTGCCCAGACCAATGTCATGAAGCATTTTCCCTGTTTTCTTCCAGTAGTTTTATAGTTTCAGGTCTTATATTTAAGTCTTTAACCCATTTTGAGTTGATTTTCGCATATAGTGAGAGATATAGGTTTAGTTTAATTCTTCTGCATGTGGATATCCAGTTTTCACAGTGCCACTTATTGAAGAGACTGTCATTTCCCCAATGTGTGTTATTGGTGCCTTTGTCAAAAACTGGTTGTAGGTGCAAAAATTGGTTGTAGGTGTGTGAACTTATTTCTGCATTCTCTATTCTGTTCCATTGGTTTATATCTATTTTTATGCCAGTACCAAGCTGTTTTGGTTATAATAGCTTTGTAGTATGAGTTGAAAGCAGGTAGTGTGATGCCTCCAGTTTTTTTTTTTTTTTTTTCCCAAAGTCGCTTTGGCTATTTGGGGTACTTTGTGGTTCCATATGAGTTTTAGGATTGTTTTTTCTATTTCTGTATAGAATGTCATTTATATTTTGATAGAGACTGCATTAAATCTGTAGACTGCTTTGGGTAGCATGGACATAATATTTTTCCAACTCATGAACTTGGGATATATTTCCATTTAATTGTGTCCTCTTCAATTTTTTTTCATTAATGTTTTCTAGTTTTCATTGCAGAGATCTTTCACCTCCTTGGTTAAATTTATTCTTAGGTTTTTTTTTATAGTGATTGCAAATGAGATTATTTTCTTGATTTCTTTCTCAGATAGTTCAGTATTGATGTGTAGAAATGCTAGTGATTTTTGTATGTTGATTTTGTATCCTGAAACTTCATTGAATTTGTTTATTAATTTGAATAGTTTTAGACATTTTAGACAATATCTTTCCACCACAGAGCATAAAATAAGCAAAACAAACAAACACACAAACAAAAAACACAATGAGTAATGCATGTGGGTCTTTGCCCCATGTGGGGTATTGTGGGAAATCTGCCATTGGCATGTCTAGCCTGCACACATCCAATTTTATTACCCTTTGTGGGCATGCTTTTGTGGGGGAAATCTGGGCATGCATGGGAGGGTCTTTGTCCCCTTGAGGATACTGAATAAATTAAGTGTTATGCACCAGCGTTTTGACTGTGATCTGTCACATGAAGCCAGGTGTGGATTTTTCCATTTTTGGTGTCAAGTTGGCTTCAAAAAGTGTCAGATTTTGAAACATTTTGGAGTTCAGATTTTTGGATTAGGGGTACTCAGTCTGTACTAACAAATAGAATATCATTACATAATTTGACCACTTGGGGTTTCTCCTCAGCTGTAAAATCAAGGATTTGAAATAAATAACTTTTCAGGTACTTTTCTGCTGTAAAATTTATACATATAATTTGTGTCTGGTGTGTTAATTGGCAGGTACTATTTGTTAAATAAATAAAGCAACTTAACTTTTGTTGCATACAAATACTCTAGACTTCTATCTTCCCCTCAACAATTTATGATTTTCTTACCTTAATTTACATTTTTTACAGTGTGTGTTCCTTAACATCTTATTATAGCTATAGTTATCACTGACTATTTTGTCTTTTAGTATTCATACTAAGGATTTCCGTATTCTGTCATTGTATTCATGGAATATTCTGAATTTGATCGTGAATGTACCTCTACTAGTTCTGAATTTGAGTTTGAATTTACCTCTACCAATGATTTTTATACTTTCACTTATTTTCATGATGGTAGTTATTATCCTCTCACCTCCAATTGTAGCACTCTCTTAAGTATTTCTTGTAAGGCTGCTCTAGTGGTGGTGAGTTCCCTCAGCTTTTGCTTGTCTGGGAAAGACTTTATTTCCCCATTTCTGAAAGATAGTTTTTCTGGGTACAGTATCCTTGATTAACAGTTTTTTTTTCTTTCAACACTTTAGATATATCATTTCATTCTCTCTATGCCGGTAACATTTTTGCAGACATATCTGCTGATAGTCTAATCAGGATTCCCTTATGTATGACTTGACACTTTTCTCTTTGTATTTTTGGAATTATCTGTCTTTGACTTTTGACAGTTTGACTATAACGTGCCTCAGAGAATACCTTTTTGGATTGAATTTATTTGGGGATTTTGAGCTTCCTGGTTCTGGATGTGTATATATCTTCCAACACTTGGAAAGTTTTTAGCTGTTATTTGTTAAATAGGTTTTCTATTCCTTTTCTCATCTCTTTTCCTTCTAGAATTCCGATAATGAGTATATTCATTCACTTAATGGTGTCCCGTAAGTCCCTTAGGCTTTCTTTATTCTTTTAAATTTATTCTTCCTTTTTTTTTGATCTGACTGAATTATTTTAAAAGGCCTGTCTTCAAGTTCAGAAATTATTTCTTTTGCTTGATCTGGTCTATCGAAGTTCTCAATTGTATTTTTAATTTCATTAAATGAATTATTCAGCTCTACGATTTCTGTTTGGTTCTTTATTATAATATCCATCTCTTGTTGAATTTCTCATTTATATCATGAATTGTTTTCCTGATTTCATTGAATCGTCTATCTGTAGTTTCTTGTACTTCACTGAATTTCCTTAAGATTATTATTTTAAATTCCTTTTCATGCATTTCATACATTTCCTTTTCTTTGGAGTCTGTTACTGGAGAATTATTGTATTCTTTTGGAGGTGTCATGTTTCTTTGCTTTTTCATGTTTCTGTATCCCTACATTGATGTCAGAACATCTGGTGGAACAGCTGCCTCTTCCAATTTTATAAAGTAGCTTTTGTAAAGAAAGACTTTCTTCACCTGTAATAAACATCAGCAGTGTCTGCCAGCACTTCAGTGGCTTAGGCTGTGGATCTTTGTGGAGGTGGTAGTACAGTTTTGCTAGTGTCAGTGCTGCTGGGTGGTCCAGTCCTTAGGCCCTGTAGGGTGCATGCAAAGTGTGGCCATTCTGCTGGGCACAAGAGTGGCATTGCTGGGGATGGGGCTGCTGAGTGGGTTGGTCCTTAGGATGTCTGCCAGTGTTTAAGAATCCCTGTAATGGTTAGAATAATGGACCCTCTGATCAGATGGACCTAGCTTTCTCTCTTGGCTCTGTCTCATCTTTTGCAAATTATTTAACCTCCCTGAACCTTAATTTCTTTATTTATAAAATGAGAATATTAATAATGATGATGCTATCATGACAATGATCAAGATAATAAAAATACTCACTCTATAGAGTTTTGTATTTATTAAGTGAATGAATGTATACAGAGCTCTTAGCACATTGTCTGGAAGATAGTAAGTGCTTAGTAAATTATTATTATTGTATTAATACAAATAGAGAAGAAAGGAAAAAATGGGAAAAGGATTTCTCATTTGTTAAGATATGATACTCAGATCTCTTACTCCCTTTAACCCATATAACCCATTTTACAGGAATGTGGATTTTGAAGTAGCTGTACTGGTAGCATATGTCCTACATCACTACAGCACTGACACCAGCAAAACTACTACCACCTCCACAAAGATCCACAGCCTAAGGCACTGAAGCACTGGCAGACAGTGCTGATGTTTATTACAGCTGAAGAAAGTCTTTCTTTACAAAAGCAATTCAGCCCTCACTTTGGCTATTGAAGGCTAATAATTCTCTCCTTAAATAACATAAGGCCAAACCATGAGGAGAATTAAAGATGGGTCTGGATAGTACACTTCCAAATAATAAAGGGGATTTAAGCAAAGAATAGTAAATAAAAAATTTGCCATCCTAAAGCCACAAAAAGTATTCTTCAGATTTTGTTTTCATAACAGATAACTTCTCAATCTTTTTTCAAGTTACTTAAATAGAAGTTAATTAGCTAATAGAATACATATAAAGTGTCACTAAGGCTTGTGGAATTTAATTGTTGATATGGTCTCTGAGGAATTTTTAAAATGTCAAATGGTTTACAAGATGTTTTGAAGATAATGTTAGTATTAAAGTTACAATTATTATGTCAAACATAATGAATCAGTCATTACTCATAACAATTACAATACACAGCTCTGCTATTGCCTTAATTGCACATATTTATTTTATAATTTAACACCAAAGGAAACTGTGAGCATACCTTAAAGATTTAAATGTATCTTCAATAAAGAAAAATTATTCTAAATAAATATACAGTATAGTAGTAAAATCTTAAACAATTTACCTGTGATATTTGGCATATCAAAGATTGGTTGTCACTACTCTGGTTAAAAATAAGTGATTTTCACTTTCAACCTTGGAATTTATATTCTGAAATCTTTTTGCATTTTAAAAGTAGCTTGAATTCTCTCTTTCTCTCTCTTTGTTGTAGAGGGCTCTTCTGTCTCTCAGACACAGATACAGAAATACATACCCACACACCAACACAGATTTCTCTCCAAAGTTGAATTCTGTTCTGTCTGTCCATCCATCCATCCATCCATCCATCCATCCATCCATCCATCCATCCTGAGTAACATTAAAGAGTTATTTTTCAAATAATGACATGGACACAATTCAAAATTTGTAGTTTCCAATTTGACCTAAGTGCAAATGAAGACTAATAGGAGGACCTAAGTTGTTTAATTCTGGAATACATTATGAACTAGATGTGACATGGTGATATAAAATAATTTCACTGATAACCTTTAGAAAGCAGTATTCGCAGTGTGACTGAGAGTGGGAAAAATATTCAGGAATGAGAAATTTGTATTACATTGTAAAGTCCTTCCACAGTGATGATGAAAGGTGGGGAGGAAGCTGTAAAATTTTCTCTTCCTGCGGGTACAGTAGAAAGGGTTGTGGGTAGGTAGCCTCTCAGGTGAGACAGGCTTCTTTTTCCCTGCCCCTCTTATTTTTTGACTGAAAGAAAAGATGCTGGACAGTAATATCATATATGGAATCACAAGCATTAGATGTGAAATCAGGTAGATTTACGTGACAGCCCCTTTTTATTACTTTCTAGCTGTTTGACCGTGGGTGAGTCACTTAACTTCTCAGAGCCTCAGTTTCCTGAAAGCTATAAAATGGACTCATATTGAGCTCAAATTAGATGGTATATAGGAAAATGTGGTAAAACTGTAAAACAGTAGAAATGTTACTTGTTATTATTAATGGTTATGACCCAAAATTATGGCCATTTCCTAAAAAATAATTAGTAATCCAAGGTCCCTATTGCCTTTCTTTCACCCTTAACACTCAAAGGAAGGCAAGCAGAACACCTGAACCAATTGAACTTGTCAGGCTGGGCGGGCGTGGTGGCTCACACCTGTAATCCCAGCACTTTAGGAGGCCAAGGCAGGTGGATCACTTGAGGTTAGGAGCTCTAAACCAGCCTGACCAACATGGTGAAACCTCTTCTCTACTAAAAATACAAAAATTAGCAGGGCGTGGTGGCACGCCTATACTCCTAGCTATCTGGGAGGCTGAGGCAGGAGAATCGCTTGAACCTGGGAGGCGGAAGTTGCAGTAAGCTGAGATCACACCACTGGACTTCAGCCTGCGTGACGCAGCAAGACTCCCTCTCAAAAAAAAAAAAAAAACCAACAAAACAAAACTTGTCAGGTGATCATGCCGCACAGATATTGCCCATGATAAAGACTGGCATCTTATAATGGTGAAGTTCCTTTGTATTAGTCAGGGCTCTCCAGAGGGACAGAACTAATATATGAAAGGAAGTTTATTAAGGAGAATTGACTCACATGATCACAAGATGAAGTCCCACAATAGGCCGTCTTAAAGCTGAGGAGCAAGGAAGCCAGTAGTGGCTCAGTCCAAGTCCCGAAGCTTCAAAAGTAGGGAAGCTAGCAGTGCAGCCTTCAGTCTGTGTCTAAAGGCCTGAGAGCCCCTGGCAAACCAATGGGATATGTTCAAGAGTCTAAGAGCCAAAGAACCTGGAGTCTGATGTTTAAGGGCAGGAAGCACTCAGCTCGAGAGAAATATGAAATCCAGAAGACTCAGGAGGCAGCTTATCCCACCTTCTTCCACCTGCTTTTGTTCTAGCTGCGCTGGCAGCCAATTGGATGGTGCCCACCCGGATTGAGGGTGGGTCTTCCTCTTCTACTGACTCAGGTGTTAATTTCCTCTGGCAACACCCTCACAGACACACCCAGAAACAACACTTTATCAGCTATCTAGGTATCCTTCAATCCAATCAAGTTGTTACATGATATTAATCATCATATCCTGGATCTTAAACTGTTTAAGGGTACATATATATGTCAGTTGGGTGAACCAGTACACTTTTTCCAAATACACACATCTACTCAACTGTATAAAGACTTCCGTGTTTGGTGATTGATAATATTCATTTCCTTTAACGTAGGAGACACTATTTTGGAACGTTTTGAATGACATTTTTGTGGTTCACGCTGAAGGAGCGCTTCAGAGGCCAAACATATTATAGGAACGGCCTTTTAGAATTTTGCTGTCTGTCTCTTTTTTTTTTTTTTTTTTCCAGATGGGATCCAAGGTAACAGGCCTTGATGTGACTTTTTCTCTACTGGCATCTTTATGATGATGAAGTTCCAGCATATGTTGGTGGTTCCCTTCCATCTGTCTGGGGATCCAGCAGGGGGATGGAAACCCCAGCCAAACTACTTTTAGGAACAAATACACAATATAAAGACTTTCCATTTCCTCTCATTTTGTTTTCTCTTTTGTTTCTCATTATGTAAATTCCAGAAAACTAATCATGCAGTAGAACAGGACAAGCAGAGCCTTTATGGTCAGAGTTCTTAATTCATCTGTGTTAGATGCCCAAGGCCGTAGTCTGGCGTTGTATTTTAATGTCTTGAGAAGAAGGGGGATTGAATGCATTCCAGAATATCTTTGATTTAGTAAAAAAAAGATATCAGGCCCAGAATATTTCAGGATACAGTGCTGAGAACAGAGTACTGGAATTAGCCACTCTAGGAAAAAAGGAGTTTAGCCTTGTTATAGGAGTTAAAGACTGAAGCAATTTAAACAAGGTCCTTGTATATCAGAGCACTTTCCTTCTGGTATTCTTGTTAGTTTAACCCATGATAAAATTCTGGATTTTAGTAAATCTGATTCCTGATTAAATTTTTTTCCTGAAAACCCTCTGCCAGGTAATTTTTGGGGGGATTGGAGTGGTAATGCCCTGCTTTTCTCTCTTTTCCATTTTCAAGACTTTTCCTAAGCTGGACTATTTGAATCCCATCTCCAGCTCTCAACTACCCACCATGTAATATAAGCTGGGCATAATGTTAGAAGTACTTATCATGCCTTATCTTATTTTAGTCTCATAGCAATTCTGGGTGCAGATGCTATTATTTATTCCTATTTTACAGAAAAGAAAATTGAGGTATAGGGATTAAATAAATCGCCCAAGGCCACTCTGCTAGTAAGTGGTGAAGCAGGGATCAACCCACTGGAATGCCTTTTCCTTGGGGTCCTAAGACCTGCATAGTCCTTAATCAGAAGGAGATGAAAGAGCCTATTTGACAGCTCAGGTAACTCAGTTCCGACTCGAGTTTGTTGTATTACTCTTGCTTCCTTTACACATTTCTGCCTTGTTCATGAGAACTCCTGTTCCCGGATTTTTTTGTCATAGTTCCCATAACTATGGTTTTATCTGATTCCCTATACCAGGGTTTCTTAACAGTGACTTTTTTTTTTGAGATGCACATCTTTGTTGTATGTATGTGTGTGTCAGGGGTGGGTGGGTGGGTGGGTGGATGGGGCTGTTCTGTCATTTCTCGTTCAGTAGCATAACCGGGCTCTATCTGCTAGATGTCAGTAGTACCCCCAGATGTGACAACCAAAGTGTCTCCAGACATTGCTAAGTGTCCCTGCGGTGGGGAGTGGAGGTGGTCGGCCTTGGTTTGGAGCCCCTGTCTCATACCGACATTCCTGACTGCTGGTTAGATTGTCTTACTCAGACTGAGACTCTGCCTTGCTTAAACACTAACCCTGAATGTCAGTTCTGTGCCTGGACCCTCTTAGCACCACACCTTTGTGACGCTAGTCACTTGCTGGAATCGCTGCATATTTTCTGGTTCTGGACTCTTCATCAGCATGCATCTGTCCTTGGGGCACCTATCCGCAGGCACCTAACCTGATGATAAATTCTCGCCAGACACCATGTTCTCTGATTTGTGCTAAGCTCCCCAGATGGACTCCCTCTGGCTGTCTCTACAGTTCCATCATGTCTCGTCCGAGTCAATTTGTTCTATGGTATTTATGACTGAGCCTTAAGTCTCTGCTCCGATTCAGCCTTTATCTCTTTGAGGGCTGCTGCCCTATAGTTAGTTCAAATGAACTCTCCACTTTGATCTTTGACTAGATTTAAAATTCCACCTTTGATATAGCGGAGAATGCATGTTACATGGGAATCAGGTAGATTTCAAGTTGTGGGAAAGGCAAAAATTTGTATAGTTAATTTTTCTCTTGAAAATTGCGTATGAAAAAGCTAGTGAAGACCAACATTTTCATCTTTCACTAAGTCCAACCCAGTTATAATCTTCTCCAGCATTGGGACACATTCCTGTAATTTAATTCAAAAAGAAAGGATTTTTAAATATTAGAATTATATTCACTATGACAAGAAACGTACACCATGAGAGCACTTGGGAACTAAGACTGAATAATCAATGGCATTTTCACCTCTTGCCTCTTACACTAACTTTACGTAGGGCCCTGGCTTCCAAGTAGAAGCAGGAATGGAGTCATATGGAACAATGATTCCTGTGGTTTCTCTCTCTCCTTTCTTTTGCTTTCACTGTTGTTGTTCTTGAATATAAATATGTTGCTAAATACATAGGATGCCATTGTTTTGTAATTGACTATTTCCTGGGAGCAGTGGAAAAGAAGGAAGCAAGAAAGGCTTTGCTAGTGCATATCAGCATTAAGCCAGACATAGTGATTTTCAAACCTTCTTCCCAAGGAGTTCTAGGAGTTCCTCAGAGGAGCTTCAGGCTGTTGGGACAGGATAGTGCTTGTTTCGATAACAGAAGCTCTGCTTTCTTTTCCCTTTTGCTTTTCAAAATTTTGTATAAAATTTAATGTGAACAATAGATTCAATGGCTAAAAAAACATTAAATTGTGCAAAACACTCAGACTCAGCCATATTGTTGATATTTATTTTTCTGATTCATGGTTTGCTTTTTATCTCATGCTTTGATTCATATGAGCATATCCATGCACACTCAATAGTTTCTAAGCATTTTAGAAACAAAATGTAATCATACTTTATATTCTAAGCATAACTTTTTTCATGTATCAATTTATTATGGTCATTTTTGCATGTCAGAACATATAAAATGATTTTGTGACATTCAATAATATGATACCACAATTGATAAGTATTCAGTGCTGTATTTCAAACAATGCAGCAAAAGTTTTTCCTATACATACTAAGTATTTTTTCAGGATAGATTCTGAGAAACAGAGCTTAATAGTCTAAGGTCTGTACATTTAAGCTTTTCATAGAGACTTTCAAGTCACACTAATAAATAGGGATCTAATTTAAAATTATACTGGTAGTATGAGTCTTCTCTATACCAATATCCTAGGCAAAACTGATTATTAATCAATTTAATTTTTACTAAGCAATTGGGTGAAAAAAATTGTTATTTTCATTTAATTTTCCTGATCAATGGTGAAGTATTTTACCTTTTAAAATACTGACTAGTCACTTATATTTCTTCTGTGAGTTACTTTTCCATATACTTAGCTCATTTTTTCTGCTTGGTTGCTTAATTTCTCATATTAATTTTCAGGAACTGTTTTCTAAATACTTTTTTCCCAGTTGCTTGTATTGTATATATTGTATTACAGTCTGTCACTCACCTTCTAATTTTGATTATCATTTATTTAACTGTTTAGTAGTAAGGATGTATATATTCAAATCTCTCATTTTTTTGATCTCATTTTAAAATGATGTATTTTGCTTAGAAGGCCTTCTGTGTTATAGGCTTTCAAAAATATCCTTTTAAATAGTATTTTATATTGCATTTTTTGTTTAGACATTACTTTTGCACATGGCATGAACCTGACTCTGTTCTTCAAAATACAGTCTGTGTTTTAGAGTGCTTTTCAAATAATTTATCATTTCCTTACTCTCTGAGTCTGTCAGTGATGCTATAACAAAATACCTGAGATGGACAATTTATAAAGAACAGAAATTTATTTCTCACCATTCTAGAGGCTGAGAAATCCAAGAGCAAAGCATAAGCAGGTTTTGTGTCTGGGGAGGGACCAGTCTCTACTTCCAGGATGGTGACTTAAACACTGCTTCCTATGAATGGAAGCTGTGTCCTCATGTGGCAGAAGAGACAGACTCAGTCCCATAAGCCCTTTTATAAGGCACTAAGCCCTCATTACTTAATCACCCCCTAAAGACTTCACCTCTTAATATTATCACATTGATGATTACATTTCAACATGTGGGCTGGGTGTGGTGGCTCACACCTGTAATCCCAGCACTTTGGGAGGCTGAGGCGGGTAGATTACTTGAGGTCAAGACTTTGAGACCATCCTGGGCAACATAATGAAACCTTGTATCTACCCAAAAAACTCAAAAATTATCCAGGCATGTTGGCATGTGCCTGTAATCCCAGCTACTTGGGAGGCTGAGGTGGGAGAATTGCTTGGACACAGGAGGCGGAGGCTGCAGTGAGCTGAGATCACATCACTACACTTCAGCATAAGTGACAGAGTGAGTCCTGTCTCAAAAGAAAAAAAAAGATTCAACATATGAATGTTGGAGGACACATTTAGACCATAGCACCTATTGAATTCACATGCCACGTTTCTTATCTTTTACATTTCTACATATAGTTGGTAAACTCTGAACTTTGTATTTTTTTTACTTTAAAATAAACTTTTAAATTTTACTCAATAGTTTTAGTAGGTTTTTTTAGCATCAAACAAAATAGATTTTATTTATTTCAATAGGTTTTTGGGGAACAGGTGGTGTTTGGTTACATGGATAAGTTCCTCAGTGGTGATTTCTGAGATTTTGCTGCACCTGTCACCTGTGCAGTGTACACTGTATTCAATGTATAGTTTTTTGTCCCTCCCCCCAGCCCTTTCTCCTAGTCTCTAAAGTCCATTGCATCATTCTAATGCCTTTGCATCCTCATAGCTTAGCTCCCACTTACGAGTGAGAACATACGATGTTTGGTTTCCCATTCCTGAATTACTTCACTTAGGATAATGGTCTCCAATTCCATCCAGGTTACTGTGAATGCCATTATTTCATTCCTTTTTATGGCTGAGTAGTATTCCATGGTATGTATGTGTGTGTGTGCGCGTATATATATATATATATATATACACACACACACACACATATATCATAATTTCTTTATCCACTTGTTGATTCATGGCCGTTTGGGCTGGTTTCATATTTTCGCAATTGCGAATTGTGCTGGTATAAACATGGGTGTGCAAGTATCTTTTTCGAATAATGACTTCTTTTCCTCTGGGTAGATACCCCACAGTGGGATTGCTGGATCAAATAGTAGTTCTACTTTTAGTTCTTTAAGGAATCTTCACATTATTTCCCATAGTGGTTATACTAGTTTACATTCCCACCAGCAGTGTGGAAGTGTTCCCTTTTCACCACATCCATGCAAACATCTGTTATCTTTTCATTTTTTGATTATGGCCATTCTTGCAAGAGTAAGGTGGCATCGCATTGTGATTTTGATTTGCATTTGTCTGATCATTAGTGATGTTGAGCAGTTTTTCATACGTTTGTTGGCTATTTGTATGTCTTCTTTTGAGACTTGTCTATTCATGTCCTTAGCCCACTTTTTGATGGGATTGTTTTTCTCTTGCTGATTTGTTAGAGTTCCTTGTACATTTGGATATTAGTCCTTTGTTGGAAGTATAAATTGTGAAGATTTTTCTCCCACTCTGTGGGTTGTCTGTTTACTCTGTTAATTGTTTCTTTTGCTGTGCAGAAACTTTTTCAGTTTAAGTCCCATCTATTTATCTTTGGTTTTGTTACATTTGCTTTTGGGTTCTTGGTAATGAAGTCTTTGCTTAAGCCAGTGTATAAAAGGGTTTTTCCAATGTTATCTTCTAGAATTTTTGTGGTTTCAGGTCTTACATTTAAGTATTTGATCTATCTTGAGTTGCTTTTGTATAAGGTAAGAGATGAGGATCCAGTTCCATTCTTCTACATGTGGCTAGCCAGTTATTCCAGCACCATTTGTTGAATAGGGTGTCCTTTCCCCACTTTATGTTTTTGTTTGCTTTGTTAAAGATCAGTTGGCTGTAAGTACTGGGCTTTATTTCTGGGTTCTCTATTCTGTTCCATTGGTCTATCTGCCTATTTTTATACCAGTACCATGCTATTTTGGTGACTATGGCCTTATAGTATAGTTTAAAGTAAGGTATTGTGAAGCCTCCAGATTTGTTCTTTTTGCTTAGCTTTTCTTTGGCTATGTGGACTCTTTTGGTTCCATATGAATTTTAGGATTTTTTTTTCTAGTTCTTTAAAGAATGATGGTGGTATTTTGATGGGAATTGCATTGAATTTGTAGATTGTTTTTGGCAGTATGGTCATTTTTTTTTTGAATATTGAGTCTACCTATCCATGAGCATGAGATGTGTTTCCATTTGTTTGTGTCATCAGTGATTTCTTTCAGCAGTGTTTTGTAGTTTTCCTTTTAGATCTCTTTTACCTCCTTGGTTAGGTATATTCCTAAGTATTTTATTTATTTTTTTTGCAGCTATTGTAAAAGGGGTTGAGTCCTTGATTTGATTCTCAGCTTGGTTGCTGTTGTTGTATAGCAGAGCTACTGATTTGTGTACATTAATTTTGTATCCTGAAACTTTGCTGAATTTATTTATAAGTTTTAGGGGCTTTTTGGAGGAGTCTTTAGGGTTTTCTAGGTATATGATCATATCATCAGCAAACAGCGACTGTTTGACTTTGACTTCCTCTTTACCAATTTGGATGCACTTTATTTCTTTGGCTAGTCTGATTGCTCTGGCTAGGACTTCCAATACTATGTTGAATAGAAGTGGTGAGAGTGAGCATCCTTGCTGTGTTCCAGTTCTTAGGGGGAATGTTTTCAGCTTTTTCTCATTCAGTATAATGTTGGCTGTGGGTTTGTCATAGATGGCTTTTATTACGTTAAGGTATGTTCCTTCTATGCTGATTTTGCTGAGGATTTAAACCATAACATGATGCCACATTTTGTAAAATGCTTTTTCTGCATCTATTGAGAGATCATGTGATTTTTTGTTTTTAATTCCGTTTATGTGGTGTATCACATTTATTGACTTGTGTACGTTAAACCATCCCTACATCCCTTGTATGAAACCCACTTGGTCATGGTGGATTATCTTTTCAATATGCTGTTTGATTTGGTTTGCTAGTATTTTGTTGAGGATTTTTGCATCTATGTTCATTAGGGATATTGGTTTCTAGTTTTCTTTTTTTGTTATGTCCTTTCCTGGTTTTGGTGTTAGAGTGAACTGGCTTCATAGACTGATTTAGGGAGGATTTCCTCTTTTTCTATCTTATCAGATAGTGTCAATAGAATTGGTACCAATTCTTTGAATGTCTGATAGAATTCAGCTGTTAATCTATCTGGTCCAGGACTTTTTTTGTTGGCAGTTTTTTTATTGCCATTTCAATCTCACTGCTGGTTATTGGCCTGTTCAGTTTCTATTTCTTCCTGGTTTAATCTGGGAGGGTTGTATATTTCCAGGAATTTACCCATTTCCTCTAGGTTTTCTAGTTTATGTGCATAAAGGTGTTCATAGTAGCATTGAATAATCTTTTGTATTTCTGTGATATCAGTTGTAATATCTCCCATTCCATTTCTAATTGAGCTTATTTAGATCTTCTCTCTTCTTTTCTGGTTAATCTTGCTAATGGTCTATCAATTTTATTTTTTTGAAAGAACCTGCTTTTGGTTTCATTTATCTTTGAATTTCTTTTGTTTTCAATTTATTTAATTCTGCTCCAATCTTGGTTATTTCCTTTCTTCTGCTGGGTTTGCGTTTGGCTTGTTTTTGTTTCTCTAGTTCCTTGAGGTGTGACCTTAGATTTTGTGTTCTTTCAGACTTTTCGATGTAGGGATTTAAGGGTATGAACTTTCCTCTTAGCACTGTCTTTGCTGTATCCCAGAGGCTTTGATAGGTTGTGTCACTATTATTCAGTTCAAAAAATTTTTAAATTTCCATCTTGATTTCTTTGTTGACCCAGCAATCATTCAGGAGCAGGTTATTTAATTTCCATGTATTTGCATGGTTTTGAGGGTTCCTTTTGGAGTTGATTTCCAATTTTATTCCACCATGGTCCGAGAGAGTACTTGATATAATTTCAATTTTCTCAAATTTATTGAGAGTTGTTTTGTGGCCTATCATATGGCCTATCTTAGAGAAAGTTCCATGTGCTGATAAATAGAATGTATAGTCTGTAGTTGTTTGGTAGAATGTTCTGTAAATATCTGTTAAGTCCATTTTTTCCAGGGTATAGTTTAAATCCATTGTTTCTTTGTTGACTTTCTCTCTTGATGACCTGTCTAGTGCTGTCAGTGGAGTATTGAAGTCCCCCAAATTATTGTGTTGCTACTCATTTCTTGGCTCTGGTAGTAATTGTTTTATAAATTTGGGAGCTCCAGTGTTAGATAGATATATATTTAGGATTGTGATATTTTCCAGTTGGACAAGTCCTTTTATCATCCTATCATGTTCCTTGCTGTTGCTTTAAAGCTTGTTTTGTCTGATATAAGAATAGCTACTTCTGCTGGTTTTTGGTGTCCATTTGCATGGAATATCTTTTTCCACCCCCTTACCTTAAGTTTATGTGAGTCCTTATGTATTAGGTGAGTCTCTTGAAGACAGAAGATAGTTGGTTGGTGAATTCTTATCCATTCTGCCAATCTGAATCTTTTAAGTGGAGCATTTAGGCCATTTACATGCAACATTAGTATTGAGATGTGAGGTACCATTCTATTATTGTGCTATTTGTTGCCTGAATAACTTGTTTTTTTCCCTTGTGTTTTTGTTTTATAGGTCCTGTGAGATTTATGCTTAAGGAAGTTCTATTTTGGTGTGTTTTGGGGATTTGTTTCAAGATTTAGAGTTCCTTTTAGCAATTCCCATAGTGCTGGTTTGGTAGTGGTGATTTCTCTCAGCTTTGTTTGTCTGAAAAAGACTATCTTTCCTCCATTTACAAAGCTTAGTTTTGCTGGATACCAAATTCTTCGTTGATAATTATTTTGTTTAAGAAGCCTAAAGATAGGGCCCCAATCCCTTCTAGCTTTTAGGGTTTCTGCTGAAAAATCTGCTGTTAGTCTGATAGGTTTTCCTTTATAGGTTACCTGATACTTTTGCCTCATGGCTTTTAAGATTCTTTCCTTTGTCGCTGGGCGCAGTGGCTCACGCCTGTAATCCCAGCCCTTTGGGAGGCTGAGATGGGCGGATCACCTGAGGTCAGGAGTTTGAGATCAGCCTGGACAACATGGTGAAACCCTGTCTCTACTTAAAACACAAAAATTAGCCAGGCATGGTCACAGGCACCTGTAATCCCAGCTACTTGGAAGGCTGAGGCAAGAGAATTGCTTGAACCTGGGAGGTGAAACTTGCAGTGAGCCAAGACCACGCCATTGCATTCCAGGCTGGGCAACAAGAGTTAAAACTCAGTCTCAAAAAGATTCTTTCCTTTGTCTTAACTTTAGATAACCTGATGCCTATGTGCCTAGGTGATGATCTTTTTGTGATAAATTTCCCTGGTGTTCTTTGAGCTTCTTGTATTTAGTTGTCTAGATCTCTAGCAACACTGGGGGAATTTTCCTCGATTATTCCATCAAATATGTTTTCCAAGCTTTTAGATTTATCTTCTTCCTCAGGAACACCAATTATTCTTATGTTCGGTTGTTCAACATTATCTCAAACTTCCTGGAGGCTTTGTTCTTTTTTTTTTTTTTTTTTTTTTGAGATGGAGTCTCCCTTTGTCACCCAGGCTGGAGTGCAATGGCATGATCTCGGCTCACTGCAACCTTTGCCTCCTGAGTAGCTGGGATTACTGGTTCCCACCACCATGCCCGGCTAATTTTTGTATTTTTAGTAGAGATGGGGTTTCACCACATTGGCCAGGCAGGACTCGAACTCCTGACCTCAGGTGATCTGCTGGCCTTGGCCTCCCAAAGTGCTAGGATTACAGGTGTGAGCCACTGCATCTGACTGACTTTGTTAATTTTTAAAAATTCTTATTTCTTTGCCTTTGTTGGATTGAGTTAATTCAAAAGTCTTGTCTTCATGCTCCAAAGTTCTTCCTTCTACTTCTTGATTCGATTGCTGAGACTTGCCATTATATTTTGCAGTTCTCTAAGTGTGTCTTTCATTTCCAGAAGTTGTGATTGTTTTTCGTTTATGTTATCTATTTCACTAAAGGTTTTCCCCTTCATATCTTGTATCATTTTTTTAATTTCATTTAGTTGGACTTTACCTTTCTTTGGTGCCTCGTTGATTAGATTAATAATTGACCTTCTGAATTCTTTTTCTGTCAATTCAGTGATTTCTTCATGGTTTAGATCCATTGCTAGTGAGCTAGTGTGATTTTTGGGGGTATTAAATAACCTTGTTTTATATTACCAGAAATGTTTTTCTGGTTCCTTCTCATTTGGATAGACTACATGAGGGAATATCTGGGGCTCAAGGGCTGCTGTTCAGATTCCTTTTTTCCAAGAGCACCTTGATGTGGTGCTCTCTCTGTTCCCCTAGGGATGTGGCTTCCTGAGAGCCTAACTGCAGTGATTGTTATTTTTCTTCTGCATCTAGCTACCCAGTGGAGCTACCAGGCTCTGGGCTGGTGCTGGGCTTATCTGCACAGAGTCCTGTGATGTGAACTGTCTTCAGGTCTCTCAGCCATGGATATCAGCACTCACTCCAGAGGAGGTGGCAGGGGAGTGAAGTGGACTCTGTGAGGGTCCTTGTTTATAGTTTTGTTTATTGTGCTAGTTTTGTGTTGGTTGATCTCCAACCAGGAGATGGTGCTTTCAAGAGAGCATCAGCTGTGATAGTATAGGGAGGATGAGACAGTGGGTGGGGCCATAGAGCTCCCAAGAGGTTATGTCCTTTGTTTTCGACTACCAGGGTGGGTAGAGAAAGACCATCAGGTTGGTGCAGAGTTAGGTGTATCTGAGCTTAACTCTCCTTGCTGGGGCTTGCTGCAGCTGTTGTGGGGGCTAGGGGTGTGGCTCTCAGACCAATGGAGTTATGTTCCTGGGTGGGTTATGGCTGGCTGCCTCTGCTGTGTCATGCAAGTCACCAGGGAAGTGGAGGAAAGCCGGCAGTTATAGGCCTCACCCAGCTCCCATGCAGCCCCAAAGGCTGGTCTCACTACTATCGTGCCCCCTCAACAGCACCGACTTCATATCTGGGCAGGGGGTGAGCAAAGCTGAGAACTTGTCCCAGGCTGCCAGCCTCCCAGCTGAGAAAGCAAGCAGGGATTTCAGGTTTTGTGCCTCCTTGCCTGCTGTGGCTTTGGTGCTGTGTCTGCACTTCCAATTCACCCGTTCTCCCAGGTTCTGTCCAGGAAACTGTCCATTTGGTCAAAATTGTTACAAAGTTCAGCTGGAAGTTTTCTTCTCCCTGTGGTCTTTTCCTTGTTCCTCTCAAGGACCTCCCCAAGGACCCCTGTGAGACAAAGTAAGAAATGGCTTCCCTGGGGACTAAGAGTGCCTACGGGCTCTTCCTGCTGCTTCTTCTACGTCTGTAGTTTGCTCGGCTAGAATAGTTTTAGTTTTACAGAAAAGTTGCAAAGATAGTACAGAGTCTTCTTGTGTAGCTCTCACTCAGTATTCCATATTGTTTTATCTTACTATGTCATTTGTCACAAGTAATGAACTAATGTTGATATAGTTTTTAATTGTATGTATTTAAAGTGTACAATTTGATGATGTGATAAACATATACATTGTGAAATAATCATCACAATCAAGCTAATGAATGTATCATCAACTCACATAGTTACTTTTTTTATGATAAGAAACCTTAGGATCTACTTCTTAGCAAATTTCAAGTATACATTAAAGTATTGTTACCTACAGTCATCATGCTATACGTTAGATTTCCAGAATGTATTCATTTTGCACAACTGAAACTTGGCACCAATTGACCAACATCTCTTCATATTCCGCCTTTCGCAGCCCCTCATCACCACTATCCTCCTCTCTGCTTCTATGAATTTGACTATTTTAGATTCCACATTTAAGTGAGATTTGTGGAATCTAATTTGTGGAATGTAGTATTTGTCTTTCTGTGTGTGGTCTATTTCACTTAGCATAATGTTCTATGAGTTCATTCATGTCACAAATGACAGAATTTTCTATTTTAAAGGCTGAAAAATATTCCACTGTATGTATATACTACATTTTCTTATCCATTCATCTGTCAATGAACATTTAGATTGTTTCCATATCTTGGCTATTGTGAATAATGCTGTAATAAACATAGGTATCTCTTTAATATCCAGATTTCAATTCTTTTGAAATCGCAAAAGGGTGATAACTGGGTCATGTGGTAGTTCTATTTTAATTTTTTAAAGAAACTCCATAGTGTTTTCCATAATGGCTGTACTCATTTACATTCTCACTAATAATGTGTAAGGGTTCCCTTTTCTCCAAATCTTTGCCAGCCAACACTTGTTATTTATTTATTTATTTTTAATAATAGCCATCTTAACAGGTGTGAAATGATATCTCCCTGTGATTTTTGATTTGCATTTTCCTCATGGTTACTCATGTGAGCACCTTTTCATATGCCTATTGGTTATTTGTATGTCTTCTTTGGACAAAAGTCTATTCACGTTCTTTGCCCATTTAAAAATCAGATTGATTGTTCCTTTGCTATTGAGTTGTATGTGCTCCTTACTTATTTTGGAAATTAACCCCTTATTAGATACACAGTTTGCAAATATATTTTTTCATTGTTTAGGTTGCTTTTTCATTGTTGATTGTTTCCTTTGCTGTGCAGAAGCTTTTTATTTTGATGTAATCTTACTTGTTTATTTTTGGTTTCATTGCATATGCTTTTGGTGTCAAAGTCTAAAAATTGTTGCTGAGAACAATGTCAAAAAGTTGTTTCCCCCATATTTTTTTCTAGGGGTATTATTGTTTCAGGTCTTAATATACTGTGATTTGATTGGTGTGCATGGTGTAAGATAAGGGTTCAATTTCATCTTTTATGTGTGGATATCCAGCTTTTCCAACACGATTTATTGGAGAGACTATCTTTACTCCATTGTGTATTCTTGGAACCCTTGTTGAACATTAGTTGGCCGTATATGTGTGGATTAATTTCTGGGTTCTTGATTCTGTTCCATTGGCCTATGTGTCTGTTTTTATGGTAGTGACATACTCTTTTGATTATTATAGCTTCGTAGGAGATTTTGAAATCAGGAAGTGTGATGCCTCCAGCTTTATTCTTCTTACTCAAGATTGCTGTGATTATTCAGGGTCTTTGTGGTTCCATGCAAATTTTAGGATTGTTTTTTCTATTTCTGTAAAAAATTCTATGTAAATTTTGATAAGGTTTGCATTGAATTTGTACAGTGCTTTGGGTAGTATGAACATTTTAACAATATTAAGTCATTTCTTTTATCAATGTTTTATAGTTCTCAGTGTATAGTTTCACCTTGGTTATTATACTCCTAAGCATTTTCTTCTTTTTGATGATCTCGTAAATGGGATTGCTTTCTTTTTGGATAGTTTGTTATTGCAGTATAGAAACACGGCTAATTTTTTATGTTGACTTTATATGATACCACTTTACTGAATTCATTTATTAGTTCTAACAGTTTTTTTTTCATGAAGTCTTCTGTATATGAGACCATGCCATCTGCAAACAGAGACAGTTTTATGTCTTCTTTTCCTATGTGGATACCTTCTATTTTCCTCTGCCTCCTCTTTTAGTTTTTTGGCCTAATTGCTCTGGCAAGGACATCCAGTACTGTATTGAATAGAAGTGGTGAGAGTGGACATCCTTGTCTTATTCCTGATCTTAGAAGAAAATCTCAGCTTTCACCATTGACTATGTTATCCGTGAACTTGTCATCTATGGCTTTTATTATGTTAAGACACTTATCTTGTATATCTAATTTGTTAAGAGTTTTTATCACGCAAAAATATTGAATTTTGTCAAATTTTTTTTCTTCGTTTAATGAGATGGTCCTTCTAATGAGATTTCTTATTCTAATGAAATAATTTTTATCCTTCATTCTATTAGTGTGGTATGTCATGTTGATTTATTTATTTTGAACCATCCTTACATCCCAGGGATAAATCTTAAACATAGTATATCATCCTTTTAATGTGCTGTTGAATATGGTTTGCTAGTATTTTGTTAAGGATTTGGTCCTGGGCTTTTCTTTGTTGGGAGGCTTTTGTTTATTGCTTCACTCTCCTTACTTTTTATTGGTCTGTTCACATTTTTCTATTTTTTCATGATTCTTGGTAGGTTGTATGAGTTTAGGAATTTATCAATGTCTTCTAGCTTGTGAAATTCGTTGCAGCAGAATTGTTCATATATTCTCATACGATCTTTTGTATTTCTGTGGTATCAGTTGTAATGTCTTCTCTTTCATTTATTCTTTTATTTATTTGAGTCTTGTCTGTTTTTTCTTCTTCTTTTTAGTTCTAGGGTACATGTGCAAGATGTGCAGGTCTGTTACATAGGTAATCATGTGCCATAGTGGTTTACTGCGCCTGTCAACCCATCACCTAGGTATTAAGCCCAGAATGCATTAGCCATCCTTTCTAATATTCTCTCTCCCCCTACCATACCCCACCAGCAGGCCCCATCTTTTTTCTTTGTATAGCTAAAGGTTTGTCAATGTTGTTTATCTTTTCAGAAACCAATTCTTAGTTTCAATAATGTTTCTAGTTTGTTTCATTTATTTCTGCTCTGATCTTTATTATTTCTCTTTTGTTCACTTTGGGGTTAGTATGTTTTTCTCATTACGTGAGGTACAAAGTTATTATTTATTTATTTATTTATTCAAGAGTGTGTTGTGAAATTTCCAAAATTTCCCTTGTATTTTTAGTTTCATGCCATTGTGATTGGAAAAGACATTTGACATTTAAATCTTAAATTTGGTCATACTTGTTTTGTGGCTTAACACATGATTTATCCTGAAGAATGTTTTATGTGCCCATGAGAAAAATGTGTATTCCGTTGCTGTTAGATTGAATGTTCTGTATATGTCTGTTAAGTTCATTTTGTCTACAGTATTGTTCAAGCCCACTATTTTTTTGTTGTTGTTGTTGAGACAGAGTCTCTGTTGCCCAGGCTGGAGTGCAGTGGCACCACCTCAGCTTACTGCAACCTCTGCCTTCTGATTTCAAGCTGTTCTCCCGTCTCAGCCTCCTGAGTAGCTGGGATTACAGGTGCCCACCAACACACCCAGCTAATTTTTATATTTTTAGTAGAAACAGGGTTTCACCATGTTGGCCAGGTTGGTCTCAGAATCCTGACCACAAGTGATCTCCCTACCTCAGCCTCTTGAAATACTGAGATTACAGGTGTCAGTCACCACACCCGGCAAGTCCACCATTTTTTAAAGTTGATTTTCTGCCTGAATGATCTATCCAATGCTGAAAGTAGAGCACTGAAATCCCCTGCTATTATTGTATTGCCGTCTATTTCTCCTTTCAGCTCTATTAATATTTGCTTTATATATTTAGATGCTTCAATGCTGGGAACATATATAATTGTTATACACTTCTGATGAACTGACCCTTTTTTCATTGTACAATGACCTTCTTTACCTCTTGTTATGGTTTTTGACTCGTAGTCTATTTTACCTGATATAAGTGTAGCCACCCAGTTTGGTTTCCATTTGCATGTGATATCTTTCTCCATCATTTTACTTTCATCCTATGTGTCTTCAGAGCTAAAGTGAGTCTCTTATAGGCAGAGTATAGTTAGATCTTGTTTTTTAATCTATTCAACCACTCTATGTCTTTTGAGTGCAGAATTTAATCCACTTATAATTAAGTAATTATTGATAGGTTAGGAGTTACTATTGCCATTTTGTTAATGTTTTCTGGCTGTATTGTAGATTATTTGTTCCCTTCTTTTTCTTTTGTTGTCTTCCTTTGTAATTTGATGGGTTTTTTTGTAGTTTTATGTTTTGATTCCTTTTTCTTTATCTATTGTGCATAATAGATTTTTTCTTGTGATTAGCATGAGGCTTACTTAAAACATCTTACAACATTCTGTCTTCAGCTGATAACAACTTAACTTTGATTATAAAAACTATATTTTTTACTTCCCTACCTTTTATTTATATTAGTATCTACATTTTTAAAAATAATGTGTCCTTTATTGAATTATTATAGCTATATTTTAATACTTTCAACTTTTATACTAGTGTTAAAAGTGATTTATGCACAATCATTCAGTATTAAAGTATTCTGAATTTGACTATATACTTACTTTTACCAGTAAGTTTTATACTTTCATGTACTTTCATGTTTCTCTTTAGTGGCCATTTGCTGCAGCTGAAGAAATCCCTTTAGCATTTCTTGTAGGGAAGTTCTAGTGCTGATGAACTCCTTCAGATTTTGTTTGTCTGAGAAAGTCTTTCTCTCCTTCACTGAGGAAGGATAGGTTTGTTGGGTAAGTTATTAATTGATTTTTTTCCCCTCCTGCCTTTGGATATATCAGGCATTCTCTCCTGGCATGCAAGATTTCTGCTGAGAAATCTGCTCATAGTCTTGTGAAGGTTTCCTTATATGTGACACATCACTTTTGTTGCTTTCAAAATTTTCTCTTTAACTTTTGACAATTTGATTATAATGTTTCTTGGTGAATATCTTTTGATGTTCTACCTATTTGATATTTTCTGGGCCTCATGGATCTGGACGCTCATTTCCCTCCCCTGATTTTTCATTATTTATGTAAATAACCTTTCTGACCCATTCTCCCTTTCTGTTACTTCTGGAACTTCTATGATATGTACATTATTTCTCTTGATGATGTCCCATGTCATATAGGCATTCTTTACTTTTTTATTATTTTTTCTTTTTGTTCTTCTGATTGAATAATTCAGATGATCTATCTTTGAGTTCACCGATTCTTCTCCTTGATAGAGTCTGCTATTAAAACTATTGAATTTTTCATATCATTTTCTTTCTTCCTTTCTTTTCCTTTCCTTTCCTTTCCTTTCCTTTCCTTTCCTTTCCTTTCCTTTCCTTTCCATCCTTCCTTTCCCTCCCTCCTTCCCTTCCTTCCTTCCTTCCTTCCTTTTTTCCTTTGTTTTTTGACAGAGTCTCACTCTGTCATCCAGGCTGGAGTGCAGTGGCATGATCTTGGCTCACTGCAACCTCCGCCTCCCAGGTTCAAGTGATTCTCATGACGTAGCCTCCCAAGTAGCTGGGATTACAGGCATATGACACCATGCCCAGCTAATTTTTGTATTTTTAGTGGAAACGGTGTTTTGCCTTGTTGGCCAGTCTGGTCTCAAACTCCTGGCCTCCAGTGATCCACCCACCTCTGCCTCCCAAAGTGCTGGGGTTACAGGCATGAACCACTGTGCCTGGCCAATTATTATATGTTTTAACTGTAGAATTTATTTTTGGTTCTTTTTATGTTTTCTATCTCTTTGTTGAATTTTTTATTTTGTTCACGTATTGTTTTTCTGATATTGTTTATTTGCTTGTATGTCTTCTCTTGCAGCTTACTGAGCTTCTTTGCAACTATTACTTTGAATTCTTTACAGGGGATTTCATAGATCTCCATTTATTTGGGGTCAGCTACTGGAGTTTTGTTTTGCTCCTTTGGTGTTATGTTTCCTTGATTCTTCATGTTCCTTGACATCTTGGATTGCTATCTTCACATTTGAAAAACAGTTCTTTCTTCTAGTCTTTACTGAGACTGCTTTAGGAGAGAAAGACCTTAACTCAAGAAAGCCCAGCCAGACATTTTGGGGTTTTTGCAGGGCTTTTCTATGGATGCACCCTCCCCGCTCCTTTTTTTCCCTCTTGGAGAGGAAGTCTTAGGATTGTGTGCCTTCTCTTAATCCTGCAAAATTGAGCCAGGTGTGGAGAACTTTCTGTTTATTTTCCTCATGGCAGTGCTTGAAAGTGTTCAAGGTTGCACTCCTTCTTCCGATCTCACAAGTTGAGCTAGCTGCTGCTGTCTTCATGCTGTCTGTGGGTATTTGCTTGCACCCTCTGCAGGGGCTTGCCCTTGCTGTGAGTGAAAGCTTGGGTTCTATCTGTGGGAGGGTGTACATGCCATCTGCAGAGGCCTGTGTGAGCTATCTCAGGGGTACATGTGGACTGCTAGGGACATGTGTTGGCCACTGGGGAGTGATTACAGGTGAGGTCACCCATGGGGTTTGTAGACAGGCCTCTTGGTGGAGTCCACAAACCAGTTAGTAGGACCTGTGGCCTGTCCTGAGATCTATGCAGTGGTTGCTGTGAACTCCACCTCCTTTTTCCTGCTTCTGTCTCTCCCCAGACTATCCAGCTGTGCTGATTCCCTCAGTGATCTGGAGGGGATGAGGCAGGCGTTGGCCTCTTGGGCAATGTCTTGTGAGTCTGAAGAAACCAGGCACTTACTTCACCCTTATTTTTCCCCATGGGAGAAAACTACAGGCTGAGGAGGTCTCTCTTGACATTAAGCTGTGCTGCCTTGAGGGAGAGATGATGCAGGTAAAGTGAAACTGTTCTTCTCACTTAATCACTGCATCTGTCCTCATTTTTTTTGCTCTAATGCAGTGCTGGAATGTCTCTCCTGGACTTCTGGGTTAACACAGAGGTATTCCTGTCTGTGGATGGTTGTCAAAAATCAGTGTTTCTGTGACAGTATGAGGACTGCAATCTCCTATTTTGCCCTCTCCTATTTGTTTATGTATCTCTTTATTATTGTACCCAAGAGCAAAGTATTTTCCTAATTTAAAGTATGTTAAATTTCCTACTCACTCTTCTCTTTAGAATTATATGCTGGCTCTTTCTTAGCACTGTGTCTTCCAGATAAATAATAGCGTTTGTCAGGTATGAAAAATGTTCAGTTTAAATTATATTTAAATTTTGGGATTTATCCAAATTTAGATTACCATTTGGGAATTGATAGTTGTAAAATATGAAGTTTCCCCCCACCCCAGGAGCATGGTAACTCTCTCCTTTGTTCTGGTCCTTTCTCTTAGTAAAATGTACTTCTTATTTACAGTGATCATTTTTTGTGAGGTTTATAATTTGTGTTGGCTATTGTGAATTGGATGCCTTAAACATATTTTCTAAGTGTTAGAAATATTTTTGAATTGTTTATTCCAATGAATACTATTAATTTTCCTATATTATCTTGTAATGTCATTTTACTGCACTCCCCAATTTCCCTTAACATTCTTCAGGTGATGGTTTTGGAGCCCTTTAATTCTTAAGGAACATTTTTAGGCCCGATGTGGGATAAATTACAAAATAATTATCACTTGGTCCCCAACTTTTTAATAAAGGATGGTACATCCATTTGTTACACAGACAGCAGCAGCTTTATCTCAGACATTTTCCCACGTCTCTCTCCTGCTTACCTGCACTATTTTCAGATCGTGCTTTTTTGCCTTATCCATACCCCGGCTCTTGCTCTTATTTAGGTAACCCATTAGGAACCCAAATTCCAATTGCACCCCTGTATACTTTCTTGGTCTCAGGGTACCTCCAGATTCAAGTGTGAGGTGATCCCTCTACCAGCTTCAGCTTTTCAGAGCTGTCTTCCTTTCCCCCTCTCTCCCATACTGGGCTAGAACAGTGAAAATAAATAACCCCACTTTATCATACTTGGTTTTTCCAAGTACCTAAATGGAATTGTTTGAAAATAATAGTAACTTACTTTTCATTGAGAAATACTACATTCTAGATATTTTGTGAAGTTCTAGGTAAAGGAGTTGTGAATATTGCAGGCATGCTACCCATCCTCATGGAACTCGTGTTCTATGGAATCTCCAATACCGAAGGGGAAGTCTTCCACACTTTTTCCAGGGGTCCTTGCTAGTGCTGGGATTCTTTAGGCCTTTAGGTCCTTCTACCATCCCCAATGCAAGATTTGCCTTCACTTCCACTGTCAATGTTTGGGAGAGTGGGGAGTTATAACCAGATGGAATAAAAAAGATTTTTATTAAAAACAAATAATACACCTGACTGAAACTTTGTACTTCTGTTCAACTTTTTTTATTATTTATGCACATGATTCTTTTTTTTTTTTTTTTTTTTTTTTTTTTTTGAGACGGAGTCTCGCTCTTTCACCCAGGCCGGACTGCAGTGACACTATCTCGGCTCACTGCAAGCTCTGCCTCCTGGGTTCACGCCATTCTCCTGCCTCAGCCTCCCAAGTAGCTGGAACTACAGGCGCCCGCCACCACGCCCGGCTAATTTTTTGTATTTTTAGTAGAGACGGGGTTTCAGCGTGTTAGCCAGGATGGTCTCGATCTCCTGACCTCGTGATCCGCCCACCTCGGCCTCCCAAAGTGCTGGGATTACAGGCGTGAGCCACCGCGCCCGGCCTTCATTTTTATGTATAGTCATTATTTCTCCTACTTTTTCATAAATTCCTATAGGAACAAGGTCTTAGCTCATACACTTTTCACTGTCCAGAGCATAGCCAACAATTTTGCACAGAGTTGAAGCTCAGTAAATATTTACTGCCTCTCTGGAAGGGGTAACTTGATAATATCCTTCCAACTCTTTCAGTTGTTCTCATTTAGTTGGTTCCCTAAGGCACTTCCAGTGACAACTCACTGCACCTTCCTTGAGGTTTGGAGTTTTAAAAAAGCAAGGGCAAAAATGGGCATGCAAAATGGTGATGGCAGCAGTTGTGGTCTTGGGTGGCATATTTGCCGTGTTAAATGAGAGCACTCACTCTCATCTGTGGTTTGCTAATTATTGTTTTTTTTTTTTTTCTTGCAGAACAAAGAAGAAAAAATTTCTTTTAAAGAAAGGCCAAAGAATTATTATAGATCTTTTCTTTCGACATTCCTAAACAAGAACAGGCCTAGATGGTGTCATTTTCAATTCTTGTCCTAACTGGTATTGTATGATTTTTTTGTTTTTAAATTGCCCTGAATTTTTGCCCCATTTTGTTTGTGTTTTGGGTGAACATTACCTTTACATAGAATAACTAATGTTTCTTAACTGTCTGCTTTATATACAAAGTATTATTTTGCCTTCTTCTGAGTTTGATTAACAACTAACTTTATGTATGATAGTAGTTGTTTGGGGATTTTTCTTTTTGTAAAGATGGACTAATATCTTAGGCCCCCAGAAACAATCCATGGAGATTATATTTTGAATTTTCCCCTTATTGTTCCCATATGGTAAACTCACAACTAAAAAGAAAATTGGATGTTGTATTATATGATTCAGAGATTTGTACTTTTGTTTTAGATTTTGTATGCTTTCTTTCTAGATTTTCTTTCTATCCATCTGGCTTAAGAGCCCTTTTTGGTGCTAAGGAAACTCATAGAATAAGTTTCCTAAAGAGCTTATGAAAAACTCCAAGATCATTTTTTTCAATCTTCAAAAATTAATGGATTTATAAAAATGTGAGGAGAGATTTGCTATTTCATTTGTTATTCAAACCAGAAACATATTGAAATTCTACCAGCTAAGCACTGGACTGAAAGTTTCTCAGGGCAGATTTCAAATTAGGGTACAAATACAATTTACAAATGTATTTAAAATTCTAATTTGCATTGATCACACAAGAGAGAGCTAAAAAAGAGCAACTGGTGAGAAGTCCCTGTTCATCTTTCTGTTGTGATTGTCTGACCATTTTACTCTTTCCTAGGGTGCCAAATCCATTTAAAATTAGAGCAAAAACATCTAGCCAAGTAAACCAGACATTCTTTATATGAATAATTGCATCTAATGTATGCTAAAGATTGAGAAGATGATGGTCTAAAGGCAACTAAATGTATCTTAGGGAATCTTTAGTTTTGAGAATGAACAAAGCTGGAATTTAAAAACAATGCCCAGTTGAGTATCTGGTGTCTTACTTAGATGTAACTGATTTTAAAGCTGGGTTTATAAATTCCTGCTCACTTGCTTAGATCTTTTGACAAATGTGTTTTTGAGAAGAAAACAGAGAAAAACAAAGATTTTGATTTTAAGCATTTTTATAGGGTGCAGTCACCAAATGAATGAAAGAAGAGGAATTACAGCCAGAGAGAGTGTGATGAGAGAGATGGACTGTGAACCTAGTACATTTGATTTTAAACATATGACATTGCCCTTCTATATTTTCTGAAGAGATTGCTAACCTATTGAAGTGGTTGCTTAGCCACGGATGTGCTTTTCTGCATACGATTAAACTATGTTATCTTCCCTTCCTACCTCCAGACTTTTTTAGTGGCCTTGCATTTTTGAGGATTTTGTTGTTGTTGTTTTTAATGCCATATGAAAAGGGGTATTCTTTAATCCTTTAGGCATTGAGAGCTAGTTTCTACAGTAAGATTATGTTAATAATACCTGTTAATATTTGTTGACACCAGGAGTTAGATGGTTGGCTAAGCATTATATACGCATTATTTAATTTAATATACATACTTGCATTATGGTACTATTTACTATTTTTTTCTGACATTGTACACGTGGAATTTTAGGCTTAGAAAGGTATCAGAAAGGAATTTAGGCTCAGTAACTTGCCTAAAGTTTTGCAGATCATAAATGATAGAGATGGAATTTGAATCTAGACCCCCTGACTTTAGAACTGTGGCCTTAACTACTGCTCTATAGTGCCTTCTTTACTGCCCAGTAAAGCAGTCATTAGGGAGGCTGGATTAAAAGCAAAGTCAAAGCACTTATATTCTCTGTTGTGATAGACACTTGGTTGTTTATCAAATAGCCATTTCTACTTTCTGCCAATTTTGTTCAGATATTGGGCAGCCAAGAACTTCAAGTACTTGGAGGAAGTTAAATAGTGATTAGTCTGAACCTAAGAGTGGTAATTTCATTATTTTGCTACAAATTAGTTAGGAATGGCCTAATGACACAATTCCTATCAATAATACATAGCAAAGATTTAAAGGCTGGGCATAGTGGCTCATGCCTGTAATCCCAGCATTTTGAGAGGCAGAGGTGGGCAGATAACTTGAGGCCAGGAGTTTGAGGACAGCCTGGCCAACATGGCAAAACCCCATCTCTACCAAAAATATAAAAATTAGGCAGGTGTGGTGGTACAGGCCTGTAATCCCAGCTACTCAGGAGGATGAGGCATGAGAATCACTTGAACCCAGAAGGTGGAGGTTGCAGTGAGCCGAGATGGTGCCACTGCACTCCAGCCTGGGTGACGGAGTGAAACTCTGTCTCAAAAAAAAAGGGATTTAGAGAACTCTTATATACTGCTGATGGGAATGTAAATTAGTACAGCCATTAATAAAAACAATATGAAGGTTTCTCAAGAAACTAAAAATAGAACTACGATATGATTCAGCAATCTCACTACTGGGTATTTACCCAAAGTAAAGGAAATCAATTCACTGAAGAGATGACTGTATATCCTAAGTTTATTGCAGTGCTATTCATAATAGCCAAGATATAGAATCAGTCTAAATGTCTATCAACAGATGAATGGATAAAGAAAATGAGGCATATATATATATATATATATGTATGTGTATATATATATATATATGTATGTGTATATATATATATATGTATGTGTATATATATATATGTATATATATATGTATGTATGTATATATATACACAATGGAGTAGTATTTATCCATAAAAAGGATGAAATTCTGTCACTCATGACAACATGATGGGCCTGGAGGACATTATGTTAAGTGAAATAAGTCAGGCACAGAAAGACAAATACCACAGGTTCTCACTCATATGTGGGAGCTAAAAAACTGATCTCATAGAAGTAGAAAATAGAACTGTAGTTATTAGAGGGTGGGAAGGGTAGAGGGGAGGGGAGGACAGGGAGAGGTTGGTTAACAGGTACAACATTATAGCTAGTGAGGAGGAATAAGTTCTAGTGCTCTATTGCACTGTAAGGTGAACATAGTTAATGATAATTTATTGTATGTTTTAAAAAAGCTAGAAGAGAGGATTTTGAATGTTTGCAACACAAATAAATCATAAATGTTTGAGGGGATGTGTATGCTAATTACCTCAATTTGATTATTACATATTGTATACGTGCATCAAAAATATCATTCTATATCTTATGTACAATTATTATGTGTAAACTAAAAATGAAAGAAAAAAAATCAAGTTGCAGAAAAATACAAGATAATTGCATTTTGCTTAAAATATATGTAACTACATAAATAATAGACATGATTTCTATGTATGATTATGGAAAGGTTAATTTGGTGGTGATGACTAAACAGGCAGCAGGAGTAGGCTGATTTCTTTATTTTCTTCTAGAAAAGTGGTAGGATTAAAATAATAAAACTACCTTCTCAGTCAAAAGAAAAAAAAAGACATAAAGTTAATTCTTCATAATGACTTCTGGAAAAGTGTACTTTGTTCTGAAAAAAAAGGGTAAGAATGAGATGCATTCTGGCCTGCCCTTCAGAACACTGATGGGTGGAGTATGAAACTTGAAGCAGCTGCAGCCATCTTGCAACAAAGAGGACATAATTTTGAGGGGGGGGAAGGTTGCACTGAGGATAGCAGATCAAGGCAGAAAGAAGTTGAATCCTTAAGGATATTGTTAAATTGCTGTATTAATTCTGGAAACATCCTATCGCTAAACCTCTTACTTTGGAGAAAATAAGTGTCTCCAACTGATTAAGCCATTTTGATTTTTTTGATAGTTCAAAACATTCTGATACATCTCAGTCCCAAACCCTGTCCCATTTCCATATCTTCCATACATCTTATTCCCTTAGAGATGATATAACTTTGTGTGTGTGTTTTATAGTTTGTGTTAGGCTAGAAACTGGCTATAAGATTTTCTAAACAGATGTTTGAGACTTTCTGGAAGAGAGGTATTTTGAACAAAAGTGGATAGTTTTGACTTTGAAAACTAAATATTTACAATCTTTACAAACCTCTAAGGCTGTCCAAGAAGAAAATTGTGAGTGAATGTTGTATCACATACAGAGTGGGATAAACAACACACATGAGAACCCTCAGGGGACTGTCAAACTACATGAAATTTTACACATCTTTAAGCAAACTTACAGAGCCCAGTACAAAGAGAGCAGTAAGAGCTGTGAGTGAGATCGAGACCCTCCCTGAGAAGTTCTCCTTTCTCTGGGAAAATCTATCAGCAATTGATGATGTTTATCATAAGTATTCTGTTATAAGACATTTTAAATAATTCAGATAGAGGAAATAGGTTCTCAGTTGAAATTTAAAGTATTTTCGACTTTAACCCCATGTGTGAAGGGATCACAACTCAAGTAATCATAACAGCGAAGGACTGGCTTTTATTTATTCTGAATTTTTTGCATGGTTGCAGCATGTGGGATGTTAAAGGCATGTTGCAAGATTTCCTCAGCTGTGGTCTCTTATTACCAGCTGTGGCATGTCTTCCATGTTGGGACCATGCATGGTACATTTCACAAGGTGGAAATCAGAGTGCTTTCTTTTGGAAAAGAAACCTTGGTGACAAGGAACATTTCTTATCATTGGTTCATTTGGTGTTAGGGCGGGACATCTCAGACTCCATATACATAAATGGCTTGGAGCTGTCTCTATGACTGTCTCAGATAACCTGGTAAATTATCAATGTTAATTTTTATTCTAGATCTATGGAACCAAACACAATGTGTCTAGAGGATCTTCCTATGGTTCTTGGAAGTGCTCTAACTTCTTCAGATAATATATCTGACCATTTAGTAAATGTCTCCCCCAGTCTGTTCTGCCTCAGTTAGTGACTAAGCATGGCATATTTATTTGTCTGTATATGAGTGTGTCTCCCTCAGTAGATGGTGAGCTCCTCAAGGAACTCACAGAATACAAAGGCTCTTGTACTTATGAATCCCCCAAAATGTGGCACAGTGCCCGGCACATAGCAGCAGCTGATGCATAACCCCTTTTTTTCTTCTTACAATTGTATGATGTCACTAAGAAAGATCTAAAGAGAAATATAGCAATATGTCCTACCGTGATCTTTCATCTGAGTATGGAATGGGCTAAGTAGACTCAAACCCAGTTAGTGTTCTGCAAGCAGCCACAGATTTGAAGGTGGTGGTGGTTTTCCTGGAACTGATTTGTCCTGGACTACAAAGGCAGGATGCCAGATGTATATTTGTAGGAAATCTGTGGTGCTCTTGTTACAGCTCTAGGAGCCAAAGCAAAATATCTCTTTCTTAAAGCACCATATTTTGGAATAGGCAGACACATAATAGAGCATGTCCATGGTTACTAATGAATGGAAATCTGGAAAAATATTAAATCTATGGTTATAATTATCTGCTTATTCACAAATGGTATAAAAATTGAAAATCTAATAAGGAAGTTGGCATGGCAAGTGGGATTGAGACTTTCACTAAATGGATCAACATACTGAAACAGAAATGTATTCATTAACTATGGTACTTATGACTTGACAAGATTAAAATCCTCCCACTCCCAAACACACCTACTGCAATTCCAGAGTGGAGGAAATTCCCAAATGTCATGTGGTTCATTATGCTTCTCCTAGTGGTCAAAATTTAGGATACTATTGCATATGGTAGGGAAAGCTACATTAGTTATAAGCAGAATGTCTGTGTTGGAATATATTATTTTATACTCATAAGGTACCTTCCTACTCAAACTGTTCTGGGAAGCACATAAAATGTTAAAACACATTACCTTGTGAAGGAAACCAACACAGAATGGAATGAAGCAAGGGGAAGAGAGTTGGTTTAGAAGGTGAAACTTGACTCCTGTTCTTTGAAAGGGGCCAGGGGATCTTTAATGTTTAAACAGGTCAAAATGAACATTCACTTTAAAATCTAAATGATTTTCCAGATCAAATTGGCTTTGTAAGCACTTAGTTTTTGGAATGGTGTCTGTTAATACATGCTTAGGGATTCTTAAGCAACTGGGATTCTGTCACTGAAAATAAGAGTATCTTCCAGTTTTATTTGCTTCCGCCCTTCTCCACCCTTTTAGCAAAGCCCTAATTTCTCAATATTACACTTGAGTGAACAGTGACTGGTGGAGAGCAGGAAGTTCAAAGATAAGACTCTACTTATAAGGTGCTTTAATGGATATTTTTTCAATATCCTCTCCTCTTTCCCTTCCACTCTTGCTTGTAAAGCCAGCAGCTTCCAGAAATGCTGGCATTTCTAGTTTGGAGATAAAGGCCCAGGAAGAGGTTTTATCTACACCCAAGGAGTATCTGAGGAATGGTGATAAAGCTGTTCATTCATAACAGAGAGTTTACATGAGGGCTTAATAAGCTTGAGAGGAAATCGTGATGGCTACCATTGATCCTTGATTTTGTGTCCACTCTGTTCTAAGTGCTTCATTTATATAATTTTTTTTTTTTTTTTAAGACAGAGTCTCACTCTGTTGCCCAGGCTGGAGTGTGGTGGTGCGATCTCAGCGCGCTGCAGCCTCCACCTCCTGGGTTCATGGAATCCTCCTGCCTCAGCCTCTGAGTAGCTGGGATTACAGATGTGTGCCACCATACCCACCAAATTTTTGTATTTTTAGTAGAGGTGGTGTTTTGCCACGTTGGCCAGGCTGGTATTGAACTCCTGGCCTCAAGTGATCTGTCCGCCTCAGCCTCCCAAAAGTTTTGGGATTACAGGCGTGAGCCATCACACATAGCCTATAATTTCATTTAATCCATATGATGAGCTTGTTAGCTGGGTACCTACCAGCATTCCTGTTTTCCACACGAAATTGTTAGAGATTCTGAGATGGTGACAATTTAAATAAAGTTCACAGTGTTAACATGGATGGGCCCTGGATTTGAGCACCAGCAATCTGACCAAGAGCTGTACTTAACTTCCACAGTGGGGCTGCCTCTAATGGTAGGAGATCAGGCCATGGAGGGTCTTGAACATTATACTTGATTATTTAGCCTTCATTCTGTATGTAGGTCATTGGTGTTGAGACATTTTCAAGGTTCCGGAATGCTTTTTCAAATGATATTTTGGCAATATATTAAACAGATGAAAGTGCAAGTGTCAGTATACTAAACAAGGAGATGCAATCTATTAACAGAGCAACGCAAGTGTGTCTTGAAGTGAGAAGGGCATCACGAACCCCATCTACTCAGCTGTTCTCTCTGCCCTGGGCCTAGGTTGGTAACAATGGCCGTGTGGAGGGGAATATGGGAGTTATTTTGACTAGGGAAGTGTAATGCTGAATGGTTTCTTTAGCCCTGATCTTTGGGATGGAGAGAAAGAGTGAGAGAGTAGTCAGATGGCAGCCAGTTGCAACATCACTGCAGAGGCACAAGCGTGATCTGATGAAGGCCTGTGACAGGCAGTGGGGACAGAGCAAGAGGTGGATATGAAGGGAGAATTAAGTAAAAGATAAATGGCTGAAAGAATTAAATGAAGGATAAATGGTTGAAAGTTATGAAAGGAGAGAACTTAAATATTTCAGACAATAATTTTTTAGTTCATTTATCCCTTTAGTTATTTTCCTTTTAGAGCAACTTTTTTTTTTTTAGTTCAAAGCATCTTTTTAGTTAAAAAATGTATGTTTTCCTTCCATATTTTATTTTAAAGGGCAGATTTAAGATGCAGGATATATAGAACATGTTGTAATCCATAAGCACTCAGCATTAACTGAAAAGCATAGGATTAATTGAAATTTCAGAATGGTCTGTCACTACTTCCTGATATCAAACAAGCAAGAGATTGATGGAGCAGCTCTGGACCCACAGAGAGAAGCCCAAATGTGTGGAGTGAGTGGCAGGGTTGTGGTTCCACAGGCCTGACAGCAAGGAATGTACTCCTGGTTTTGAGAATCAGTGGAACATTTATGTTGATTATATCAAGCTCTTAAATCTCTTTCACTTCTCAGTGTCAGCCAATCAGATTATGGAATTTTTGAAAATTTTTTTCAGTCCAAAGTTAGATGGATATGTATGTGGATGCATGAACTCTCCCCAAAATGATTATAAAATAGAACCAAAGTCATAAATCATTTTTAATTGAGTAAAGCTGGTCCCCGAGGAAAAGTAGTTAAAATAGAGTGCTGGCTAATGGGTCCACTGTGAAAGACAATTGCAGCACCTCTGATGGGTGCCATTGTTTTGAAACTGTCACTAAATTGTTCCAATTAATTTCACTTGGATTTATGAATAAATATTCTTTCTCCATTGGGCTTTCTAACTTGTCTTTGTGTTAGAAAACCCACCTTAGCTCCATCAACCTACAATATTTTTTCCAGTGGTATGATTTATATGCTAATGATTTTCTAATTTATGTATTTTTAAAAAGCTTAGGGGACATCATATTTTTGGGTAGTTAAAGCAGTTTTTTGGGTGAAATATATGAGAATAACTAACAGTAGGTGACAATACAAAGGGAAAGTGTGATTTAATGAGCTGCTTTGGAAATAGGTTAGAACATTGACACTGAGGGGAATGTGGGCTCCCAGTGCACTCCCAGCTTCAGGACTATTCTAGAAACTGTAGCGAGGTATTTCTTTAAGCCACAAGAGTGTGAAGTCTTTCTAAAGCTTCTCAGAGACCAAAAGGGGGATACTAATGAACACAAACTATAATACAATTCTAATTTTACAGTACACTTAACGTTGCTGATAGCATTTTAGAGCATAATTAAGTCAAATTGGAAGGAGATTTTGGTAGGAAAATAGTCCTCTTGGCTGAGAAAGTAGATACTCATTTAAGTATTATTTACCCTCCGTTGACAATGTGCAAGCAAGCACCGTGGAGTTTACACAGTAGAATTCTAAAATATATTAAAATAGTTTTGAGTATTTTGTGATTTCCTGTCTCACGTGAAGAAGCATCTACTTTAGGATGACAGAAGGAAATGGGGAATTATGCCTGTACACTTCAACTTCTCTCAATAGAGGACTAAAAAAAGGCAGTACTACCCCTTCCAAAATATAACATAGTTTTCAAATAACAAGCTGCTTAAATTAACTTAGGGAGCAGTCATACAGAAGAAATCATTGGCTTTTAAAAGCAGATTTCCCTTGAGTACTACACTGACTTTTTCTTTTCTCTTGAGCTTCATAAAATGGAAACGGAAGCACGTATTTTCTTCCAGTGACCTCTACGTTATAATTTTAAAATATTGGTTAAAGACTGAAAGGTAACCATCATTAAACTTTGTAAAGAAAAATCAGAAAATCTAACTAAGTAACTTCAAATTAGCTACTTAAAGTTCCTTCTCAACTGTGATGATCCTCCTGGAACATGAGATAAAGATAAAGCTTTATCTTGCTGGCTGCTACCATAGCTTTCAGCTATCAAGGATCCTTTCTGTTGGTTCCATAGAAATCCACTAAATTGGGTCTGTTCCCTCAATGTCCCCTGTCCACGCCTCAACCCCTTTCCATCTCATCGCTCATCTTAGTCAGCCTTGCTAAACAGCAGTTGAATGGAACACATCTGACCGAAACAAGGACTGTAAAACTGCCCAACTCTTTGCTATTTTTCCTCATCCCACTTTAATTTTTAAAGACTTTGTTTGAACCCCAGAACTTGTGATGCATCAATCAAAACTTTGCAGTTAGGGACAACAGAAATATGAAATGGTCTTATATGTCAATGAAGGGGTTAAGGGAGCCATTTTTCCAGGCATTTAGCCTCAAATTAGCACTCTGGAATGTGGGGAATGTTTTAAACATAAAAAAAGCTGAGTTGTATATTATAATACATGGTAAATTTTTAAATGTTAGGGTTTCATATCACAGAACATACACACTGGAAATTAAAAGACCCATTGTTTTGAAACTTCTGCTGTTCAGATTCTTCCCTAAGCACTAGTTATAGCTGATTTAAAGACAGGGGAGGGGGTCTTAGCAGCCTGATGTGTGATTTGAGGTTCTACTTCCATTCCTTTCTATGAAAGCTGGACGAGCAGAATTCCCAAACTTTGGTCTGAAGATTTAGGGCTCACTTTATCATTACCTTTGGACCAGGCAGCTGGTTAATTTCTTGGAAACCAGGAGAAAATGAAATATTAGCACAAATAGAGTTACAAATTGGTTTTCAATCTGCCCTTTGTTGAAAAATTTTTGTGGTGCCTCGGATAGTTTACAAAGTATAAGAGATTTCCACCGTGGAAAATTGGACTCCGAGCTCTTTGAGAGTATGAAATATATCTTATGCCTTTCTTGTAAACTTTGCATAATTGTTTAGTTTGGCTAAAGGAATTAGCGGAGATCTTTGACAGGAGGCACAGAGAGCCTTGCGATGGAGCGGCTGTCTAGTGAGTGGGCAAGCTGGCAGTGCCCCAAGAGGCGATAATGTAGGAGGCACCACAAAGCCCGCCTTGTTCCAAAATGCCTCTCCAAGCTTGGCCATTTCTCTCACTCAGCAACTTCCTCTTCCCCTGACTCCAGCAATTGCTCTTTCATGAACTATAAAGTTGCCCCCATGAGTTAGTCCCTTAGTTACTTCCAGCAGGCCACATGGAGCTAAGTCCTGGTGAAAGGGTGCCAGAAGGGATCAAATCCTTCATTCCTTTCTTCTTCCCTTTCCTTCCCTCCTCTCTCTCTCTTTTATTCCACCTCCCTCAAAAAGGGCTTATGATAGTGATTTTTAAAACAAAATTCATTGACCTGGAATCTTGTATCAGATTAGGCGATTAGGAAAGAGAACGGAAAAGTCCAGGCAGTGACCCTTTTTTTTTTCCTGCCTTTAGCATGAATAGACACTTTCCTTCACATCACATCATCAGCCCTACTGGGTTTTCTGTCACCTTCTCTGCCTCCCAGGAATAGATATTTCAATGCAAGTGGGTGAGAATAAACCCATTATGGTCTGTATTATATACACCCCCAAACATGTAAATCATTTGTTTAGTCAGGGTTCTCTAGCAGGACAGAACTAATAGGATAGATGTATATATGAAGGGAAGTTTATTAAGGAATGTTGACTCACAAGATCACAAGGTGAAGTCCCATAATAGGCTGTCTGCAAGCTGATGAGCAAGGAAGCCAGTCTGAGTTCCAAAACCTCAAAAGTAGGGAAGCTGACAGTGCAGCCTTCAGTCTGTGGCAGAAGGCCTGAGAGCTCCTGGCAGATCACTGGTGTGAGTCCAAGAGTCCAAAAGCTGAAGAACTTGGAGTCTGATATTCAAGGGCAGGAAGCATCCAGCATGGGAGAAAGATGAAGGCCAGAAGACTTAGCAAGTCTAGTCCTTCCACGTTCTTTTTCCTGCTTTATTCCAGATGTACTGGCAGCCGATTAGATGGTGCCCACCCAGATTCAAGATGGGTCTGTCTCTCCCAGTCCACTGACTCAAATGTTAACCTCTGTTGGCAACATCCTCACAGATATACCAGGAACAATACTTTGCCTCCTTCAATCCAATCAAGTTGACACTTAATATTAACCATCACAGCATTTATTATTATAAGATATTTTAACTATTCTTTGTAACAGATTATGTGACAGCTTCCAACAAATCTGGATTTATCATGGGTTCCCCTAGGGAAGATGCTAGTCAGACAGGGAACAACGTGGAAGCAACTGACTTCTTTTTCTACTTTTTAAGGAGAGAAGGCTTGATAATAGCAGCAAGCATCAAGGATACAACTATGGGCAGCTTCAATGAGTGAAAACCATCTGCTTTAAAATCAATGTGTGCGATATGAATGATTAAAAAATTTTGCCCAGAGTTTTCTTTGCAGTAGTGCGGGGGTAACTTCTCATGCAAACGGTGTCTGAGATAAATTTCCTTACTACCTTACTATAGTCGTAGTCTGAATAAATTTATTAAGAACCTTCTGGAGAACAGGATTGAAAGTGAGAAGGGTAGACAGTTGCCTGCAAGAGCTACTAGGCTTCAAAGGGGTAACTGAGGGGTTGCCTCAGTTACCCAGAATAGTGCAGCAGGTAAAAGGAGAAGATGGCTAAGGAGAACTAAGAACCCACTGCTGGAGCTGAAAGAGATGCAGAATTAAGGGATGTCAAAGTAAAATGAGAGTTTTACAAGATATAAATGAGTGTATCTTAATGCAATGGTGTCCTTCAGGCATCTGCCTCTATTCCCAGGCAGAAACCCTATAAATAAACCTGAACCCCTTTTGTATCATTTTGAAAGCTCATCTAGAATTGTCATGTTTATTTAATCACATTTCCACTTCAGGAAGTTGATAGGATGTTTCAGGAAGATAATAGGACATGCCAGAACATTTGAAAAGAGACAAACTTGTTGTCTTATACAAGACTGAGCTAGCTAGCTATCAATCTGTCATCTATCCTTCATTCATCTATTGATTCAATTTCTGCTGTGAAGTTAGAATACTTGAAGATTTCAAAGTTTTCCAGTAACCTTATGTAACTGGCATGATGTTTCTTCAGATTGGACTATATTAGGCCATATTCTGTGTTTTGGGTTTTCAGGCACCCTGGAAAACTTCCCTCCCTGCCTTAAAACGCCAGTAATCACTTTGACCACTGTTCTAATGCAAACAGTGTCTGAGATAAATTTCCTTACTATTGTCATAGTCTGAATAAATTTATTAAGAACCTTCTGGAGAACAGGATTGAAAATGAGAAGGGTAGACAGTTGCCTGCAAGAGCTACTGGGTTTCAAAGGGGGAAAGGAGTAAGTAAAATGGAAGTTGGGGTCTTGTTAAAATTCCACTTTACAGTCTTGTGAATGACTAATGTCATTGTTATCCACTAGAAGGATAAAGAAACAAGCTTGGTGATAGATTACGTCATGTGCATCCTTGTGCCTACTGATGTGTGAGGAACTGCTTTCAGTGGAACATGAATTATTACAAATTGATGTGGTTTTTGGAGACCTCTTTGCTGAGAGGAGCCTTGGTTTTAAGATGGGTAGGTGTTTGTATTAAGCAACGATGTCCTTTCTTTTGTTTCTGTCAGCATTAGAGAGACTGAGGTGGAGTAAGCAAGGTGTGCAGGGGGAAAGGACTAATTCAAAAAATCTTATGGGTACAAGTAGCAAAAACTTCCTCTTTGCAATTCTGGTTCTAGAAAAAATGTCAGTATAACCACGGTATATAACGGCTATAATAATAGGTCCCTGAATCATTAAACAGTATTGCCTTCTTCTTTTGCTTTTAATATTAGTTTTTTCCCCGTTAAACCCTTAACTGTTCACAGGCACAGGTTTTATGGTTTTAATGCCAAGCTATGGCCAGGTGCAATGGTTCACACCTGTAGTCCTAGCACTTTGTGAGGCTGAGGTGGGCGGATCATTTGAGACTAGGAGTTTTGAGACCAGCCTGGGCAACATGGCAAAACCCTGTCTCTACAAAAAATACAAAAATTAGCTGGGTGTGGTGGCGTGCACCTGTAGTTCCAGCTACTTGGAAGTCTGAAGTGGGAGGATCACCTGAGCCCTCCAGGGAGGTTGAGGTTGCAGTGAGCAGTGATCATGCCACTGCACTCCAGCGTTGGTGATAGAGTGAGACTCTGTCTCAAAACAAAACAAAGCTATATGTATCTTTGAGCAAATCTATCATTAGAATAAACTTGTAGAAATAGAAGTGCTAGGGATTTTGATGCTTATTGGCAAACCTCAGGAGATTTGTACCTATTTATAGAATTCTCAATAGTATTTTTATCCTCAAATACTTGTCAGTAATAAGTATTTTAATTCTTTTTAATATTTTTCAGTGTGAGAGGTGAAATATTAGATGTCTAATTTAATTTTCTTAGAGTTTTGAGTTGAATATTTTGCTTATTTTCATTTATTCTTTATTAATAAACTCCCTAAAGCTATAAATTTTTCTCTGAGGGCAGCTTTTGCCATCCGTTTTGATGGATAGTTCCCACTGCTATTTTCTAAATAGCTTATACTAAGAATTTTGATTTTCTTTCAACTCAAGTTATTTATATTTTAAAATTGCTAATTGTATAATTAATGTTTAAACTTTTTTAAAAATAGAGTCACGTAATGAAGCCTGTATTATGTCACTTATTGGAAGTTTTGAAGTTTTCTTTATAGCATTTTATTTTACATGTTTTGGTAAACATTCCAAGAACATTAGGAAAGAAAGCATATTCTCAGTGTGCAGAATTTAGCAGGCATCTATTATTAAGACTTTTTTATGTTATCTGACTTCTATATTCTTATTCATTGTCGATTTAACCTGTCACAGATAAACCCACTTATAATTTCACTCTTGAAAATTCTTTGTTGTGACTTGAATAGCTTTTTCTTTATATATCTCAATATTTGGCATGCCAATATTTAGTTCTGTAATATCTTCACAGTAGAGTAAACCTTTCATTGATATAAAATAGCTCTTTTTTCTTTATTTAGTACTTTTGAATTCTACTCTGTCTGATGTTGATATGAGTACTTCTTCTTTTATTTTCTTTGAACATTTTGTGCCATTTTAATTTAGGTGTGTCTCTTATAAGCAGCATACAATTGAGGTTTTTTGTTTTTGGCTTAATCACAGAGACAGTGTTTGGCCTTTACAGAGGAGTTTAACTCATTCACTTTTCTTACGAAAACTGATATGCATGGCTTTACTTCTGCCATCTATCTCATTCTATTGTCTGCATACTGCTCTCTTTTGTTCTTTTCTTCTTTTCTGTATTGACTAGATTTTCTTAGTTTTTTTTTTTCTTAACTGCTTTGGAAGTTATGAACTCCATGTTGGTATAACTAGTAGCTATCTTTAACATTTAGGTAATATATCTCAACCTATATTTATAGATCAACATCATGAATGAAGCAGTAGCTACTTATTCTTTAATAGCAATATAAAAAATTTCATGCTTTAAAAAAATAACACTATTCCATCCAGTTTTTCATGCCTTTTTTGGGGTTACTAGATTTTAAAGTAATTCATATCTGGGTATAATGAAGAAAAGCATAAGGGGATATGATAGAAAGGTTGAAGTTGTTTGCAAACAATGGTAGATGTAGCTGGGGCAGAGGGGCTACTTTTTATTTATTTATTTATTTATTTATTTATTTATTTATTTATTTTGAGACAGAGTCTCTCGCTCTGTCACCAGGCTGGAGTGCAGTGGGTGATCTCGGCTCACTGCAACCTCCACCTCCCAGGTTCAAGCGATGCTCCTTCCTCAGCCTCTGAGTAGCTGGGACTACAGGTGTGCACCACCACACCTGGCTAATTTTTGTATTTTTAGTAGAGATGGGGTTTCACCCTGTTGGCCAGGATGGTCTCGATCTCTTGACCTCATGATATGCTCGCCTTGGCCTCCCAAAGTGCTAGGATTACAGGCATGAGCCACTGCGCCTGGCCCAGAGGGGCTACTTTGAGTAATAATCTATATAAATAAAGTTAAGGACTTCACTATTGTTTCATATTGAAATGGCTGGACACATTTTCACTGAATATGGGTTTGTTTGGGATGGTCTGATTTAAAATAGAGGTCATGTAATGAGGCCACCAGTGGCAGGCACCTCAAATTCAGCCTCCAGAGTGGTGGCCTATGTTGTTTTGCCACTGAGATGCTGACACAATCATATTTAAGCAAAACCTGATCCAAGATAAGCAGAAATGGGGTTTTATGTATCAAATGATGCCTAATTGTGGCTGTGAACAATTCAGGTAACCCATTAGAGGGCAATAAAATTGGATACACTGTAGGCACCTCATGAAGGTGTCCCACACATACTAGGGTTATGAGTTTAGATTTACTCTGATTGGCTAACAACACATTGCTTGTTCCTAAGAAGGAGTGACCTCTGTACTGACCAGCCCCTATTAGAAGTATTCTAGCTGCGTGAATTCCTTCAAAGATTCTAAGATCAATTACACATTTCTCAACCTTGTGTTCACTTTAGAAAATGTCCTCAAATATAGGACTTTTGGTATGTTCAGGCAGTATTCCACAAATGCTTTGTTTAAATTTTGGATACCAGGATTTTAATTCCACACAGATGTAGTCACCATGAGGCATTTTACCTACTAATGACGAGTTATGGTTTGGGGCCATCTGTGGTATATTTAGGTGTACCTTGTACAGCCTGTTCTCTGTAAAAGTACAAAACACTTTCCACTCCAATTTTTCTGATTTTATAGGCATCTCTTTAATCAGCTAATAAGATCTATGGTGAAACTGTGACTTGCTTGACCGGTCCTCTGTTTACTGAAAAGGTTAAAAAATGATCCAAGAATATTGCTTTGGAAATGAACCAATATCTGTCTCATCAGGAGTAAAAGCAAAAAGAAGACTTCAGTAATTACGTGCTAATTGTAGCTAGTGGTGTATGTGGAGGTGTGAGGAGGTTTGAGGAGTGGGGAGATATGTTTTTTAATTTATCTTAAAAAAAAAAGGAATGAAGAGTGTATTAGGCCACTATGTTTGGTTTCTGGAAGACTTAGCATGTTTAATATCTGTAACAATTAGTAGCAGAAAATTATATACAAAGCATTTCCAAGCCACAGATACTATCATTCCTGTAACTGCTCCTCAACCAAGTGGCAATAGAACTTGGAATATCAGCATGGAGCGTCCTACCTCCCATTATCCAACTATGCAAATACTATCCATTCTCTCCTTGGTGAGGCCTTCTCTGATTCCTCAAATCAGAGCTTTTGGTCCTTTTATTTCTCACAATATGTTGCTTTATATCAATTATGGTATTTTATAAAGAATAATTTTACATGTGATAAAATTCACTCTTTGAAAGAATATGTTCTCATGCATTTTGATAAAATGTATGCATTCACATAACTATAACTACAATCAAGTTATAGAACACCTCCATCACCCCCCAAAGTCCCCTCAAACCCCTTTGCAGTCAGTTGCTTCCCTCTACCCCAAGATGCTGGCCACCAATGCCCTTGTTTCTGTCCCTAAAGTTTTGCCTTTTCTATAATGTTTAATAAATGGAATCATACAGTATGCAGTATTTTAGGTGTATTTCTTTTCTTCAGCTTAATTATTTTATTTTTTTAAAGACAGGGTCTCTCTTTGTTGTCTAGGCTGCACCATCAGACATCACCAGATGGTGATGTCTGCACCATCACGGTTCACTGCAGTCTCAAATTTCCAGGCTCAAGTGATCCTTCCATTTCAGCCTCCCGAGTAGCTGGGGCTACAGGTGCACGCCACCATGCTTAGCTAATTTTTTATTTTTTCTAGAGATGGGGTTTTGCCATGTTGCCCAGACTGGTCTTGAACTTCTGGGCTTGAGTGATCCTCTTGCCTCGGCCTCCCAACATGCTGGGATTACAGGCATGAGCCACCACTCATGGCCTCTTAGTGTAGAACTTTTAAAAGTTATCCATGTCATTGCATGTGTCCAAATTTCACACTTTTTTGTTTTCAGTGTTTCATTTTATGGATATACCACAATTTGTTTAGTGTTCTTTGTCTTGATTACAAATAGCCTGATTACCTATAAATATATGATGAGTACCTACTATATACTAGGAAACTCGGCTGTTGGAGACAAAAACACTAAGACACAGTTCTGATCCTTCTGGGATTTGTGTATAAATAGTTGATGTAAATATAATATGGTTGGGAAGAGGAAGGTATATTCTAGAAATTTGGAGGAAGGATTATTAGAATCAGTTGAGCCTCTCAAATGAATAAGAATTAGCATAAAGCGAAAGGCAAGAAATGGCAGAACAAGGAGAGGGAAGAATAACGAACAAAGGCATGAAGACAGGTAATAGTATGGAAATTTATAGAAACTTTACTAGACCATTAAGTTTGAAATCTGAAGTGGCAATGCAGGCTGAAGAAATATGTAGTAGCTAGATTATGAGGGACTTAAAGTATCAAGTAAAGAGCTTGTTCTTTATTATGCCATGTTAGGGATTCATTGAAGCGTTTTAAGATGGAAGAGGCATCAGATTGTATTTTAAACTAGATTCTATGTAACAAATGGAATATGAGAGAAAAGTTTTAGATGGCCATTGCCCTTTGCAGACCAGTGTAATGACTTGAATCAGCATAGCAGTTTAAGGATAGAGAAGTAAGAATCAATTTGGGAAATATTTAGAATGGAAGGACAGGTGCAATGGCTCATGCTTGTAATCCCAGCACTTTGGGAGGCTGAGGCGGGTACATTGCTTGGGTCCAGGAGTTCAAGACTAGCCTGGAGAACATGACAAAACTCTGTTTTACAAAAAATACAAAAATTATCTGGCTGTTGTGGTATATGCCTATAGTCCCACCTACTTAGGAAGCTGAGGAGGGAGGATGCCCTGAGTCTGGGGAGGTCAAGTTTGCAGTGATCCATGATCATACCACTGCACTCCAGCCTGGGCAACAGAGTGAGACCCTGTATCAAAAAAAAAAAAAAAAAAAAAGAAAAGAAGAAGGAGTGATTGAATGGTTGTAGAGAGTGAGGAACAGAGAGACATACATGAATCCCATGTTTCCAGACAGGATGTTCAGATGGATGTTTGCGTAGGTTTGAGGAGGGGACATGCAGATTTTAATTCCAAACACAGTGAGTTTGAGGCACCTATTGTGCATTCAAAAGGAGATTTTTAGTAGGCATTTGGGTTTATGAATCTTGAGTTCATGTGTGAAGATCAGGCTTGGGTTTAGGAATAATTAGCATATAAATTAAAAACATGGAAATGGGGGAGACTAAAGTTCCTGGAAAGCAGGGACAAAAATCTTACTAGCTTCTGTGTTCTTCACAGCTCACAATACACATCTTGAAATGTAGAAGATGCTCCAGAAATATTTGCTGAGCAGATGAGTGAATAGATGATCATTTCCAGATTAAATTTTATGCCTTGCACGTTGGAGTTCATGGGAGTTAGACATGTAACTAAGGCATGGAATTGCATGACCTGCTTAAAGGCAACTAGATAATATTCTCATCTAAGGCAGATAGAGCTTTAAGAAAACAATAGCCTTCTGTTTTTTTTTTCTGGGTTGCTGAGGGAGACAGAAGGCCACCTGGAGTCTGGTTTGCACAAATTGCCAAACCACCATGATGTCTACCATTCAGTTTTACCCTGATTAGGCCAGAACTGGGTAAATGAATGCTTCATCTTGCATATTTCCACATAAACAGATGTTCTTGCCCACAGACAAACTTAGAAAACTGTGTGGTTTTTTAAATAAAAGGGAGACTATTTTTCTAGAAAGGAAAAAGGTGGCTGCCTTTCGTCATTTGTATAGACATGTTTATTTTTCAAAACCCAGGTAACAAATCTCAGCTCTTCTAAGAAGCCATCCCAGATCTTGCCAGTTGGAATTAATCTCTACCCATCATTTACTTTCATATTATTTGTTTTGGAAGCTGTGTGATACATCGGAAAAAGCATGGATTTTGGAGTTGGGTAGTCATAGGTCCTATCTTGGCATTGGCAGTCACTAAACTTCTTTGACTCTCATTCTCCTTATCTATAAATTACCTGTAATAATACATGTTGGGGTTGAGGGGTGGGTGTTAAATAACCTTGTTTCCCTTTCTAAGTTCGAAACTGAGAGAGAGAGAGAGAGAGAAAGACAGACAGACAGACAGACAGACACAGGAGATTGATGAACATAAAATGCTAGGTGCTCCTCCCTAATTCATCAATCAGTTAAGTTTCTCCTTTTTTCTGCGGGAGGTTGGGGAGAAGCACTAGTGTTAGCTATACACTTTTCTGTAAAGTAAGGTAGAAATTGGGAATACATAGTTTTAAATTTATTTATATGAAGGCCTAGAAATAGCGTAGGAGGGGGTTGGCTAGTACAGGGCAGGGAAAGGCAGGAGAGAGCCTCTGTCTTTCCCTTCTTAGTGCTCTGCATAGCACTAACTATGGGACTTTAATACAGTGGGTCGTCATTTGATGTTTGCTGAACTAAAAGGAAACACATCTCACTTGTTTGATTAATATTAGTTGTTGGGTTCAGGGTCTATTTCTTTTCAGAATTATTATTCTTCCTTTCCATATGATCTTTAGAGTTTGGAGGTTTACGCAATTTTGGTTTTTTTTTTATACTTAAGAATAACTTTTAATTTGAAGAATAAATATACATATGGAAAAGTATAAAAATGTAAATATACAGCTTGATGAAATATAACAAATTGAACACACTTCTGTCTTCATCACCCAGGTGAAGCAATAGAATATTACCTGCATTCTAGAATAACCTCCTGAGTCCACTTCCAGAGGTAACCATTAGCTTTCTTGCTGTTGCTTGTATTAATTTTGCTTGTTTTTGAAATATGTGCCTGTAGGGGATCTTCTTGTCCTCAGCATTATGTATATGAGATGTTCTGGTTACTGTAGCGTTATAGTATTGGCTGAAGTTGGGTAGAATGATGCCTCCAGCTTTGTTCATTTTGCTTAGGATTGATTTTGCTATTTGGGCTCTTTTTTGGTTCCATATTAGTTTTAGAATTTTTTTAAAAAATAATTCTATAAAGAGTAATGTTGGTAGTTTGATAGGAAAAGCTTTGAATCTGTAAGTTGCTTTGGGCAGTATGGCCATTTTAACAATATTAATTCTTCCAATTGATGAGTATGGCATGTTTTTCCATTTATTTGTGTTTTCTCTGATTTCTTCCAGCAGTGTTTTATAGTTCTCCTTATAGAGATCTTCCACCTCCTTGGCTAGTTGTATTCCTAGGTATTTCATTTTTTTTCTAGCTATTGTAAATGGGATTGTGTTCTTTATTTGGCTCTCAACCTGGACATTATTGGTGTAAAAAAATGCTACTGCTTTTTGTACATCAATTTTGTATCCTGAAACCTTGTTAAAATAGTTTCGATTCTAGTAGCCTTTTGGTGAATTCTTTAGGGTTTTCTAAGTATAGAATCATATCATTAGTGAAGAGAGGTAGCTTGACTTCTTTTCCTGTTTGGATGCCTCTTAATTTTTCTTCTTGCCTGATTGATTGCTCTGGCTAGGCTTTCCAATGTGTTCATTTTTATTTGCTGTATCATTCTCCATGTATATCACCATTTATCTATCCATTCTACTGCTGATGAACGTTTGGATTGTTTCCGATATTTTGCTATTATTAATAAAACTTCTATGAAGATTCTGGTACTTTTTTGCATATTTCTCTTGTGTGCATACTTAGGAGTGAGATTGCTGGGTATGTTTAGCTTTAGCTGATAATGCAAAACCATTTTTTAAAGTGATTGTACCAATTTACATTCCCACCAGCATTGTAAGAGAATTCAGTTGTTTTGTATCATCAACAACACTGGGTAATCTCTGGCTTCTTAATATTAGCTGCTCTGCAGAGTGTGTAGTGGCATCTTATTATGATTTAAATTTGCATATGCTGGCTGGGCATGGTGGCTCACGCCTATAATCCCAGCACTTTGGGAGGCTGAGGCGGGAGGATCACGAGGTCAGGAGATCAATACCATCCTGGCCAACATGGTGAAACCCCGTCTCTACTAAAATACAAAAAATTAGCCAGGCATGGTGGTGTGTGCCTGTAGTCCCAGCTACTCAGGAGGCTGGGGCAGGGGAATCTCTTGAACTTAGGAAGTGGAGCTTGCAGTAAGCCAAGCCTGTGCCACTACACTCCAGCCTGGTGATAGAGGGAGACTGTGTCTCAAAAAAAAAAAAAAAAAAATTTGCATTTGCCTGACTATTAATAAAATCATGCAAATATTCATCACAGGTTTATTGGCCATTTGGTATTCTGTTATGTGAAATTTATGTTCATTTTTTAAAAAAAGTTAACTCCTTATACTTATTTATAGTCCAATTTATAATGTATTTTCTTTATGATTAATGCTTTTTTGTGTCTTAGTTTAATAAATTGTTGCTCATCTTGGGTAATAAGATACACTCCTATATTATTTTCTGGAGGCGTCCCCTCCCCCTTTCACATATATGTCTACATTCCACCTAGATCTGATTTTTTTTTTTGGTATATTATATGAGATAGGGTCCAGGTTCATTTAAAAATATATATATCCAATTGATCAGTACTTTTTATTATATATACAAGGTCGTTTCTGGACTTTGTATTCTATTCCATTATTGTATTCTTGCATTGATACCACAATGTCTTCATAGCTATAGATGTATGATGTCTTGATATCTTATGGCATGAGTTCTCCAATTTTGTTTTTTTCTTCACGATTGTCTTGACTATCCTTGACCTACTGCATTCCAATGTAAATTTTAGAATTATCTTGTCAATTTCTGCAAAATGTTCTGTTGGGATAGTTTTAATTTTAGAAGAATTTTATACTTACAGAAAAGTTTCAAAGAGAACACAGATTTCTCATATACCCCTCATCCAGTTTCTCACATTGTTAACATGTTGCTATGGTACATTTATCAAGACTAAGAAACTGACATTGACATATTACTATTAACTGAACTCCAGACTTTATTTGGATTTCATCAGTTTTTCCATTAATGTCCTCTTTCTTGCCAGAATTAAATCCAGCATACCACATTGCATTTGGTTGTCATGTCTTGCTAGTCTCCACTGATCCATGATAGTTTCTGTCTGTCTTTGATTTTCATTATGACTTTGAAAGTCTTAAGAAGTACCTGCCAGTTATCTTGGAGAATGTCCACAATCTGGGGTTTTCTGCTGTTTTTCTTGTGACTATCTTGAGGTTATGGGTTTTTGGAAAGAATACAGAAGAGTTGAAGTACCCTTCTTATCACGTTATATTGAAGGTATGATATTCACATGAAATTGCTGGCGATGCTAACTTTCGGCATGTGGTTAAAGTAGTATTTGCCAGGTTTATCAATTTTCAGTTTTTTTTTCTTCTTTTTACTTTATTCTTTGGAAATGAGTCATTAAGTCTAGCCAGCCTTGGTGAAAGAGGGCAGGTATTATGTTCTACATTTTTTTTTTTTTTTTTTTGAGACGAAGTCTTGCTGTCACCCAGGCTGGAGTGCAATGGCACGATCTTGGCTCACCGCAACCTCCACCTCCTGGGTTCAAGGGATTCTCCTGTCTCAGACTCCAGAGTAGCTGAGATTACAGGTGTCCTCCATCATGCCCAGCTAATTTTTTTGTATTTTTAGTAGAGATGGGGTTTTACTATGTTTGCCAGGCTGGTCTCAAACTGCTGACCTCAAGTGATCCACCTGCCTCGGTCTCCCAAAGTGCTGGGATTACAGGCATGAACCACCGTGCCCGACCATGTTCTAATTTCCATAGGATGCAGTATCTTTACTTATCTGAAATTCTTCTGTGAGATAGACTTGTCTCTTTTGTTCATTCATTCACTCAATTATTTATTTATATCATAGTAGACTCATGTATATTTACTTTATACTTAGGGTTATAATTCAGCACCTCTTTGCTTATTTTGTTGATCAAATTGTCCCAGTTTTGACCATGGGGAAATTTTTTGGCTTGTTTCCTGTGTCTCTTTGACATGCACACATACTTTTGTTTTTGGAGCATTTCTTCATTTTTGGTACTGGTGAGATGCCCTAGGCTCATCTTTTTTATTCCCTGCCTGAGTCCTAGAATCAGTCATTTCTCCAATGAGCTTTTCTTCTTTTTATTGGAGAATGGTATTAGGAAACAAATCTGGGCACTGGGTGTGCTTGTTGTTACTGGTGTATCATTGCTTTTAGGCTTAGATTAGATATCTATATCTAATCTATATCTACATCTATCATATCTATATATGTACATATATATAAACATATCTTATGGCATAAGTCCTTATGGCATAAACATATTTTTGTACATATATGGATATGAATACTAACCCACAAATACACATACATTTCTAGGTATTTCTGTATCTACCCATCTGTATGTATATAAGGTCACGCACTGCATACTGATGTTTTGGTCAACAATGGACTGATTTAAGATGGTGGACCCAGAAGATTTTAATACCATATTTTTGCTGTACCTTTTCTATATTTAGATATGTTTAGATACACAAATACCATCGTGTTACAATTGCCAACAGTATTCAGTATAGTATCATGCTGTACAGATTCGTAGCCTAGGAGCAATAGGCTCTACCATTTAGTTTAGGTAAGGAGCAGGCTCTACCATCGAGTTTTGGGTAAGTACACTCTATGATGTTTGCACGGTGATGAAATCACCTAATGACCCGTTTCTCAGAATGTAGCCTCATTGTTAAGCGAAGTATGACTGTATATTAAGCTAAGCATGAATTTATACTGATATCTCTGACTCTAATCCAGTAGTATGATTCATTCAAGCTTTGCTTTCTTGTTTATCTGTAACTCTCTGACTGTGAGAAACCTGGTATTCACCATTCATTCATTCATTATGTATTTGTTCAACCCTGTATACAAATAAAACAGCTTCAGATTTGTTAATCTGTATCTCTATGAGAAAGAAATTCACCCAGTAGTGTACAGGGTTTATGCATAGTTCATTTGGTGTATAGCCTTATAGTTTTTTTAGTCAAAACATCAGTTTTCAAAGTTATGTAGGTCAGCTCATTTTAAATTTTAGTTTGTACACATAGTAAACTTTTTCTAATGTACAGTTCTATGACTTCTGACAAATTCAGTCATGTGTCCATCACCCAAGAACCATCCCTTCACCCTAAAAGCTGCTCTGTGTGTCCCTTTCACTGTATGTTCCTCTCATTTCAATGGAGTCAATCATTCCCCACCCCACCCCACATTCTGGCAACCACTCATCTGTTTTAATTCCTTATATTTTGCCTTCCCCCAAATGTCAGATGAATAAAATCACACAATATGCAGTCCTTTTGGGCATGGCTTCTTTCCCTTAGTATAATATACTTAAGATTCATCCATGTCATTGTGTGAATCAATAGCTCATTCCTTTTTATAGCTGAATTTAACATTCTTTGAATGGATGTGCCACAGTTCTTTTTTTCCCTCTTTTTTGAAAAATGTATCTTGTTAAAGATTCTCAGTTGCTTCCAGTTTTCATCCATTGGGAATAAAGCTGCCAGAAACATTCACATACAGGCTTTTGTGTGAACATAAGCTTTCAAGTAACTTTGGTAAATACCTAGGAGTGTGTAACTAAGTGGTGTGGCAAATCTATGTTTAATGTTACGGGACCTGCCAAACTGTCTTCAAAGTGGCTATACCATTTTGTATTCCCAGCAGCATTGAATGAGAATATCTGTAGATCTGCCCCCTTGTTAGCATTTGTTATTGTCAGTTTTTTGAATTTAAGCCTTTCTAATAAGTGTGTAGTGATGCCTCATTGTGGTTTTAATTTGCATTTCCCTAATGACATATAATGGTGAGTATCTTTTTATGTTTTTATTTGACATGTCTGTTGACATCTTTTGTCCATTTTTAAAAGGGGTTCTTTTTCTTTTTTTCTTTCTTTTTTTTTGAGTTTTAAGAGTTCTTTTATATATATATATATTTATTATACTTTAAGTTTTAGGGTAGATGTGCACAACGTGCAGGTTTGTTAACATATTCTGAATGCAAGTGCTTTATCAGATATTATAATTTAAATATATTTCCTTCCAGTTTGTGGCTTTTCTTTTGATTCTTTTAAAATTTTTAACACAGAAAACTTTTTAATATTAATAAAGTCAAGTTTTTCACTTTTGTGGATTGTGCTTTTGATATTTTATATAAAACAACATCACCCAAACCAAAGTCATGCAACCTTTCTCCTTTGTTTTCTTCTAGAAGTTTTAAACTTTATGTTTTACATATAGTTCCATGATTCATTTTGAATTAGTTTTTGTGCAGGGTACAATTTATGTGTCTGGGTTTCTTTTCTGTATATGGATACCCAAGTGGTTGAGCACCACTTGTTGAGAAGACTCTTCTCATTTGAATTACATTGGCCCCTTTATCAGGTACTAGTTTGTGTGGTTCTCTATTTTTTTTTTTTTTTGAGATTTTGATTGGGAGTACATGACATTTAGAGTTTACTTTTGAATATAATTAATTTTCTCATGATATTGAACCTTCCAATTTATGAATATGATTTATCCTGACATTTATTTAGATCTAGTTTATCTCAGTAATTTTTTGTCTAGTGGTTTTGATACCTTTTGTTAAATTTATTCGTGGATTTTTGATATTTTAATAACATCAAAATTTATTGATTCTTAAATTTCATTTTCTAGTAGTTCATTGCTTGTATATAAAGATACTGATTTTGTATCCAGAAACTTCCTAAATTAATTTCTTGTATTTTATTACTAATAATTTAATTCTCAAAGTTCATCTGTAGATTTAAATAAATTTTTGACCACAGAGATATTTTGTTTGTGAATTGTAGCAAGTTTATTTCTGTTATCTCAATCTTTGGCCTATTTATTTATTTGGTGTTATTGCATTGGCTAGAACCCCAGTGCAATTTTGAATAGCAAGCATTATTGTCTCAAGGGGAAATCTTTTAATATTGAAACATTTAACACAACGTTTGCTGTGGATTTTTTTTTATTTTATTATTATTACACTTTAAGTTTTAGGGTACATGTGCACAATGTGCAGGTTAGTTACGTATGTATACATGTGCCATGCTGGTGTGCTGCACCCATTAACTCGTCATTTAGCATTAGGTATATCTCCTAATGCTATCCCTCCCCACTCCCCCCACCCCACAACAGTCCCCAGAGTGTGATGTTCCCCTTCCTGTGTCCATGTGTTCTCATTGTTCAATTCCCACCTATGAGTGAGAATATGCAGTGTTTGGTTTTTTGTCCTTGCGATAGTTTACTGAGAATGATGATTTCCAATTTCATCCATGTCCCTACAAAGGACATGAACTCATCCTTTTTTATGGCTGCATAGTATTCCATGGTGTATATGTGCCACATTTTCTTAATCCAGTCTATCATTGTTGGACATTTGGGTTGGTTCCAAGTCTTTGCTATTGTGAATAATGCCGCAATAAACATACGTGTGCATGTGTCTTTATAGCAGCATGATTTATATTCCTTTGGGTATATACCCAGTAATGGGATGGCTGGGTCAAATGGTATTTCTAGTTCTACATCCCTGAGGAATCGCCACACTGACTTCCACAATTGTTGAACTAGTTTACAGTCCCACCAACAGTGTAAAAGTGTTCCTATTTCTCCACATCCTCTCCAGCACCTGTTGTTTCCTGACTTTTTAATGATTGCCATTCTAACTGGTGTGAGATGGTATCTCATTGTGGTTTTGATTTGCATTTCTCTGATGGCCAGTGATGATGAGCATTTTTTCATGTGTCTTATGGCTGCATAAATGCCTTCTTTTGAGAAGTGTCTGTTCATGTCCTTTGCCCACTTTTTGATGGGGTTGTTTGTTTTTTTCTTGTAAATTTGTTGGAGTTCATTGTAGATTCTGGATATTAGCCCTTTGTCAGATGAGTAGGTTGCGAAAATTTTCTCCCATTTTGCAGGTTGCCTGTTCGGTCTGATGGTAGTTTCTTTTGCTGTGTGGAAGCTCTTTAGTTGAATTAGATCCCATTTGTCAATTTTGGCTTTTGTTGCCATTGCTTTTGGTGTTTTAGACATGAAGTCCTTGCCCATGCCTATGTCCTGAATGGTAATGCCTAGGTTTTCTTCTAGGGTTTTTATGGTTTTAGGTCTAACGTTTAAGTCTTTAATCCATCTTGAATTAATTATTGTATAAGGTTTAAGGAAGGGATCCAGTTTCAGCTTTCTACATATGGCTAGCCGGTTTTCCCAGCACCATTTATTAAATAGGGAATCCTTTCCCCATTTCTTGTTTTTGTCAGGTTTGTCAAAGATCAGATAGTTGTAGATATGTGGCATTATTTCTGAGGGCTCTGTTCTGTTTCATTGATCTATATCTCTGTTTTGGTACCAGTACCGTGCTGTTTTGGTTATTGTAGCCTTGTATTATAGTTTGAAGTCAGGTAGCATGATGCCTCCAGCTTTGTTCTTTTGGCTTAGGATTGACTTGGCAATGCAGGTTCTTTTTTGGTTCCATATGAACTTTAAAGTAGTTTTTTCCAATTCTGTGAAGAAAACGGGCACAAGACAGGGATGCCTTCTCTCACCACTCCTATTTAACATAGTATTGGAAGTTCTGGCCAGGGCAATTAGGCAGGAGAAAGAAATAAAGGATATTCAATTAGGAAAAGAGGAAGTCAAATCGTCCCTGTTTGCAGATGACATGATTGTATATCTAGAAAACCCCATTGCCTCAGCCCAAAATCTCCTTAAGCTGATAAGCAACTTCAGCAAAGTCGCAGGATACAAAATCAATGTACAAAAATCACAAGCATTCTTATACACCAATAACAGACAAACAGAGAGCCAAATCATGAGTGAACTCCCATTCACAATTGCTTCAAAGAGAATAAAATACATAGGAATCCAACTTACAAGGGACGTGAAGGACCTCTTCAAGGAGGACTACAAACCACTGCTCAGTGAAATCAAAGAGGATACAAACAAATGGAAGAACATTCCATGCTCATGGGTAGGAAGAATCAATATCGTGAAAATGGCCATACTGCCCAAGGTAATTTATAGATTCAATGCCATCCCCATCATGCTGTGGATTTTTAAAAAGATAGCCTTCATCAGTTTAAGTAAATTCCCATCTATTCCGAGTTTGCTAAGAGTTTTTAATCAAAATGCATGTTGAGTCTTCAACTGCTTTTCCTGCATTTATTGAAATAGTCATATAGTTGCCATCTTTTTTTTAGTTAATGTGGCAAATTACATTGACGATTTTTTGAATGTTAATTTAACCTTGCATTCCTGGGATAAACTCTTCTTTCTCATGTTGTGTTATTTTTTACATTTATTCCTGGATTAGATATGCTAGTATTTAGTTAAGGATTTTGGTACAAACATTCATGAATGATATTGGTCTGTATTTTTCTTTTCTTTAATATCTTTGTCTGCTTTTGATATGAGGACAGTGCTATCTTCATAAAATATGTTGGGAAACATTTCTTCCCTCTTTATTACATGAAGTATTTGAGTAAAATGGAGATTATTGCTTCTTTAGTTTTTCAATTTAATTTAACAGTGAACTCATCTGGACCCAGAGATATTGCAGTGTGTGTGTGTGTGTGTGCGTGCGTGCATGTGTGTTTGTGTGATTTTCCATTATGTACAGTGATCCCTTGGTATCTATGGGGGATTGGTTCCAGGAACCCCCACAGATAGCAAAATCCATAGCTGCTCAAGTCCCTTCTATAAAATGATGTAGTATTTTCATATTATCTATGCACATCCTACCATATACTTTAAATCATCTTTAGATTACCGAGAATACCTAATACAATACAAATGCTATGTAAATGTCTGTTATATAGCATTGCTTAAGAAATAGTGACAAGAAAAAAGTCTGTTCATGTTCAGTACAGATGCGACTGTCCATTTGTAAAAAATATTGTTGATCTGCAGTAGGTTGAATCCATGAGTAGAGAACCTGTGGATACAAAAGGCTGACTGTGTTTAATTGAAAGATATTTTTCTGTTTTGCAATAACTACATTGATTGGCATAAAGTTCTTTGTAATTCCTTTATTAATATCTGTACTATCTATAGAAATGTCTATATTTTAGTTCTTAATATGTTAGTAAGTTATGACTTTCTCTAATTTTTTCTTGAATGGTTTAACTAGATGTTTATACTTTGCATTAGTCTTGATTAAATTAGCTTTTGGCTTTAGTGATTCCTTCTATTGTATATTGTTTTATATTCCATCATTTTTGCTTTTATCTTTATTATCTTTTCCTCTACTTTGAATTTGTTTTTCTGAGTCTTTGAAATAAATGCTTGGACATTTCTGCCTTCTTTTTTTCTAACAAATGCATTCAAGACTATATAAGTTTCTCTCTAAGCACTGCATTTGCTGTATCTTACACATTTTGAACCATTGTAGTTTTTGTTATTTAAAGTATTTTCTAATTCTATAATTTCTTCTTTGAGCTGTAGGTTATTGAGAAATAAATTGCTTAATTTCTTATTTAGGTTTTAAAAATAATATTTTTGTTATGACTTCTAATTTGTTCTACCACATTAGATAATATTCTACATGTTTCCAGAGTTTGAGATCTATTAAGCTTTTCTTTTTTGCTAAGCATATGCTTGATTTCATTGTTCCATGTGCACTGAAAAAAATATGAATTCTGTCATTGGTAGGGGTAGTGTTCTATATGTGTCAATTAGGTTAAGTTTATTTGTATTACTCAAATCTATATTCTTTGTAAGATTTTATGTATTTTATCAGTTACTGATAACAATATGTTAATGTCTATCACTGTGGTTTGGGATTGATGCATTTCTCATTTTAGTTCTGTCATTTGCTTTATGTATTTTAAAGGTATATTATTAGGTGCATACTAATTAGAAATTAATATAGTTCCTGACACATTCAACTATTTATCATTATGATATGTCCATTTTATTTCTTATAATGCTTCCTGCTTTAAAATCTATTTTACTTGATATTAATATAACTATACTAGCATATTTTTTACTGGTATTTACTTTTCATTTATATTTATCTTTATCTGTCTAGATGTATCTTTCAACCTTTCTATCTTCTAATATTAAGGCCTGTCTCATAAGATAGCATAACATTTAATTTTTAAATTCAATTATTTCACTCTTTTAATTGGAGTATTTAGCATGCATATATACATATTTATGTATAAAGACTTTTTTTTTCTTTTTTTTTTTTTTGAGATGGAGTCTCTGTCTGTCACCCAGGCTGGAGTGCAGTGGCGTGATCTTGGCTCACTGCAACCTCTGCTTCCTGGATTCAAACAATTCTCTGCCTCAGCATCCCGAGTAGCTGAGATTACAGGTGTCTGCCACCATGCCCCACTAATTTTTGTATTTTTTAGTAGAGACAGGGTTTCACCATCTTGGCCAAGCTGGTCTTGAACTCCTGACCTCATGATCCACCCATTTCGGCCTCCCAAAGTGCTGGGATTATAGGTGTGAGCCACCGCACCCAGCCTAGCATATTTTTAATAAGATGTTACAAATATATTTGTATTTAAATTTATTATTTGTTTTATATTTATTCCAACTCTTCTATGTTCCTTTGTTTTTAACTCTTTCTTATCTTCTTTGGAATTAATTAAAATATTTTATACTATTTTATTTCTCCTTTATGTTGACTTGTTAGTTATATATAATTTTACTTGTTCTTTTAGAAGTTACTCTAGAGCTCATACTATTCAGCCTTGACTTATTAATGTCTAATGTAAATTCATACTTTTATCATTTTCTAGATAATGAAAGAATCTTAGAACACTTTAACTTCATTTACTCTCTCCCATGTTGTGTTATTGAGGTCAGATGTTTTAATCCTATATATTTTTAAGTCCCTAGATGTTATTATTTTGTACAGTCAATATTCACTTAGACTTACCTACATTTATAACCTTCCTATTACTCTTTATTCCTTCCTGCATTTTTATGTTTTCATCATGTTCCTTCTTCCTGAAGCACTTTATTTCCTTTAGCATGGATCCATTTTATTTGCCTGAAAATGTCTTTTTCTGGCCTTTGCTGAAAATTTTTGATGGAAATAGAATTCTAGCTTAATATTTATTGATTAATTACTTTCTTTAAACACTTGAAGTTTTCATTAGTGTCACCTGATTCCATAGTTTCTGCAAAGTAGTCAGCTCTCGCTCAGTCTTACTGATTTCCTTTAAAGAAAATGATGTGGCCACTAGGCCTCTGGTTGCTTCAAGATTCTCTTTGTCTTTGGTTTTCAGTCGTTTTGCTATCATTGTTTAGGTATAGTTATCTTTGAATTTATCCTCATTGTGATTGGTAGCACTTTTCAGTTTTATGATTTGATGTCTTCTTTGGTGTTGGAAAATTTAAGGCCATTATCTTTTCAAAGTTGCTTTTGAACTGTTCTCTTCCTTCATCTTCTGGGACTGCAAACCTTCTTCTGGAATACCATCTGTCTTTTCCATTCCTTGACTCCACCCACTTTCCCCACTCTGTATTTTTCCATCCTTTTGTCTCCAGTGCTTCAGTCTGAATATTTTCTTTTGGCTTTTCAGTTCACTCATCATCTTTGTCCGAGAGTCTATTTCTACTGTGAACCCAACTATTAGTGAACGCATTTCTCAATTTCTCAGTTCTAGAATTTCCACTTGATTCATTTTTTAGATAAAATATCCCATCTCTTCATCTATTTTCTTCAACATATTAATAAGAGACATTTAAAAGTGTGTGTCTGATAACTTAGTATATGTTTCTTCTATGAGTCTATTTCTGTAATATTTGTCTTTTGTTTTTTGCCACATGGTCTTGTTTTCTGATGCGCCTAGCGGTGTTTGATTGACTATAGAACATCAGGTATGAACAACTGTAGGGATAGATTGAGGCTCTGAGCAGTGCTTTCTACATCCCCAGGTAAATTACTTTTGCATCTGTCAGGCAGTTAAGGTGTGTGCCATTCACCTTAACCCAGTTAGAGTGTGAGCTAATTCAAATCTGTGAGTCAGTTTTTGCAAGAGCTGATTTAATTTTGTTTTCTCTCCATTCCTAAGGTGGTGGCCTTTAGTGGTCTGAACCGAAGTCCTGAGTAGTTTAAAATGGAGTTTTCTTTTTGCACATTAACTTTTGTCCCTTAGTTTTGTAAACTGTCAGAAATTTGGCTCAGCTTTTTAGCCTCTTAGCTGCCACTTTCTGCTCAGTTTCCCAGCATCTCAGCAGCCACTTGGGGAACCCACAAATGACTTAACGAGAAAATCAGTTCCAAATGTTGGAGTTACCCCTCTGGGTTTCCTTAATTTTTGAGACCTTGACCCCTTGGTTCTCTAAAGCCTTGGAAACTCTGTAATGCCTCCAAAGAAATAATATCTGTATGTACACTTGGTGCAGCTTTTCTTATTGTTTACCATAGGAAGACTGTTCTGTAACATGGTAGTCCTCATTATGGAAAGAAGCTCTTAATCTAGATGATTACTGATAATGATTTTGTACTATATATAGGCAAAATAGGTATATTAATACCTAAAGTTATTGTGAGAATCAAATTAGATCATATATGGGAAAGCATTGAGCAAACTGGAAAGCTCTATGCAAATATAAGGTATTACCATTATCCTAATATAGAATAGGATCTCTCTGAAACCCACAACAATAGGCAGAGAAGTATTTAGTTATTTTTTATTTTAAAAAATCTGAATCATCCTTAAAGGCCTGGAATAAACTAGTAAATATGCTACTCAATATAGAAGTTGGAGTGGTATCAAAATAGGGGGCCTTATACCTGGTAAAACTGAGAGGTGTGTTTCTCCAAGCCAGCCCAAAGGTAGAAAGGAGGAACTTGTGAGGAATTAAGACAGTCCTGGCTGTCAAATCCCAGCAGTGAGGAGAATGAACAATAGGTCATATGCATGTGTAATAAGGTCAGAAACGAGGTGAATCAAGGATGGATTGGGGCAAGTGGGTCACAGCATAGATGATGACCAGTGGGAGGACACCAGAGTTTATCTGATGCATTTCATGGGACACGGTTGTAAGACTAAAAGAAACTGCATGTGCCATAATTAATAACCCAATAATTTTTCCTGGCTTTAAAATTTTACAACTCTTCAAAGTATCTAATATAATTATTATTTTTTCTACTATTTTCTTATACTCAAGTTAGAGATTAGGATGTATGCCAGCAGTATTATGCTCTGTCTAAATATGCTGGATATTGTTATTCATATGAACACATGTTGACTATTCTCTAGCTCTCTGGATATTAGTGCTGGGCTGTGGGAAAGGTGTGAATACACAAAGGAGGATGTGTAAAAATGAACAGAAAATGTGTAAAAATGTTGAAGTGGATGATCAGTCATAATTTAATTTTAAAATATCAACATAATGTATACTTTCTGCTTAGCACTGAAAACATTATTTTCATTATCATAGCTATTATTATTGTTAGTTTGTTGTTTTTGAATCCGTAGGGTCTGCTGATGAAAGTGGAATGCTATTCTGATAGCTGAATGCCACCAACGATAGTTTTATGTATTCTTATCAAGATTTTCAGCCAAGAATGGTGCAAGACCATACCCCAATCACCCTGTCATCTCTCCTCTTCAGTCTTCCTTAGGGTTTCATTGTTAGCAGCGCTTCGCTTATCTCTTTCTTCCCTATTCCCAGCTAGCCCTAATTCTTCTGAGCTCAAGCTTTTCAGTGGCTTGGAAGTTCTTAAAGGGAAAGAATAGAAATTAACATTCATTTCATGCCAAGCCAAGTGCTACATCTTGATAGGTATCTCATAAAGGAAGAAGATGTAGACACTACTTGATTTACAATGAGGTTACGTCCCAATAAACCCATCATAAATTGGAAAAATCATAAGTTAAACCACTGTTAGTCAGGAGTGTATTTATTTCCAAATAACCCTTACCTGTTTTTAAAGCAGGTCTTGTAAATAACTACAATAAGCACTGTGTATTTGCCAAGATTGAGTTGATATATATTCTCATATAAAGTGTCACAAAAAAAGGCTCAAATTTATTATTCACAGATATAAAGGCCATCTCCAGTGGGCAATCAAAGCACTAAAAATGGTAATATAAAAAACAAAAATAGTGATTTAGAGTGAGTATGAGGAGTAGAACCTAGTTTAAGTACATTATCAAAAAAGAGGGAAAATATATGTAGTTTTGTAAATCAAGAAACAGGGATAAAAGCATTTTATGTGAAGTAGTAATAAAACCCTTACAGAATAACTTAACGCTGGAAATCACTGAGTGGTTATCTTGGGGAAGGAGACTGGAAGTGCTAAGGGGAGAGAGTTTACTTTTAACTTCATGCTATTTTATACACTGACTTTGTAAATCTTTTCTTTTCTTTTTTCTTTTTCTTTTTTTTTCTTTTTCTTCTTTTTCTTTTTGAGACAGGGCCTCACTGCGTCACTCAGGCTGGAGTGCAGTGGCGTGATCATGACTCACTGGGCTCAAGCAGCCTTCCCACCTTGGCCTCCTAAGTAGCTAGGACTCCAAGTGCACACCATAACGCCTGGCTAATTTTTTTATTTTTATTTTTTGCAGGGATGGGGTCTCACTATGTTGCTGAGGCTGATCTCAAACTCCTGGGCTCAAGCAATCCTCTCACGTTGGCCTCCCAAAGTGCTGGGATTATAGGTGTGAACCACCATGCCCAGCCTAAAACTTCTATTATAATAAAAAGAGTTTATAAAAAATAAATGGATGTATTAGACAAATACATAACATAAAAATGAAAGCAATACTAATAACAAATTAAATGTTTAAAAATCTCAAAAAATTAAACACTTAAAAATGAACAAATTCATAATTTATTCAGTTAAGAGGAAAATCACACCAAATTTATAGTATTCTTTAGAAATGACATCTATATGACTGTATGGAAAAGCTATGTTGTGTAGTTCTTAGTTATACAACAGTGTATCTATTCATGTATTGGTGGGCATTTACAGTTTTTGGCTATTATAAATATTTATTTATCCATGTAGCTATCATTTACAGTGCTCTTCATTCCTTTTTTTTGTAAATCCATATTTGCAGCTGGTATAATTTCCATACTGTCTGAGGGACTTCTTTTAACATTTCTTATGATGGGGTTCTGCTAGTCATCAAATCTATTTGGTCAGAATTTGTATGTTTGAAAAAGTTTTTATTAAACTTTATTTTCAAAAGTCATTTTTATAAAGTGTGCAATGCTAGATTGACAGTTATCTGCTTTTGGTATTTTAAAGACATTTCTTGCCTGTCTTCTCACTTACATTCTTTCCAATAAGCAATCTTCTGGATTCCTTATCTGCATTTCTCTGTACATAATGCTTGGGTTTTTTTTTTTTTTGTCTAAGCACCTTTAAGGTATTTTCTTTATTACTAGTTTTGAGCAATTTGATTATAATGTACTTTGGTGTAGTTTTATTTATGGATACTTTTATACTCTTATAAATATTCTTGCAATTTGTTCAAGAAATTGTGATTTAGTTTCGTTACGCTTCCTGGATCTGTGGGTTTATAGTTTTCGTCAAATTTGGAAAATTCCGTTATTTTTTGAAATATTTTTTCTGTGTCCATCATCCCTATCCTTGTAGAACATCATTTCATGTATATTTGACTGCTTTAAAATCTCCCAAGATCCTTGATACTCTGTCCCTTTTAAAAAAACAATTCTATTTTTTCTTTATTTTGAGTTGCTTTTTATTACTATCTGTTCATATTCACTAATAATTTTCTTTGCAATGTCTGTCCTCCTGCTCATCCTATCCAGTGTATTATGCATCTCAGACATAGGAGTTTTTATCTTTAGAGGTTTGATTTGTGCCTTTTTTATGTCTTCCATGTCTCAATCTAACTTTTGAATATATGTAGAGTTACAATGCTATTGTTCTTGTGGGCTAACTTAACATCTCTGTTAGTTATTGGCTGATATCAATTAATTGAATTATGTCTTTATTATGGTCACAGTTTTCTGCTTCTTTCCATGCCTAGTAATTTTTGATTGGATGCCAGGCATTGTAAAATGTACATTGCTGGGTGTGGATGCTGGGTGTTTTTGTACTCCTATTTCGGTCTTAAAAAGAAAAACTCTTCTACGTCTCTGTTTAACTTTCTAAACATAATAATTGTTTTAATGTTTCTGTGTACTAATTGTAATATATGCATCAGTTCTCAGTTTTTTGGTTGGTGGATTTTTTCTCCTCATCATGAGTCATATTTTTCTGCCTTTTTGCAAGCCTAGAAATCTTTGATTGGATGATAAACATTGTAAATTTTACCTCTTTTGGGAGCTAGATATTTTTGTACTCCTATAAGTATTCCTGAGCTTTGTTCTGGAATGCAATTAAGTTACTTGGAATCAGTTCGTCCTTTTGAGTTCTGTCTTTAAGATTTATTAGGTGGGACAAGAAAAGTGTTTAATCTAGGGCTAATTATTCCCCACTACGGATGCAAGTCCTTTCTGAGTACTCAATGCCCTGTGCAAATAAGGTTTTTTTGTCTGGCTAATGGAAGCAGGTATCATTTCTTGCCTGTGAGAGCCAGATAATGTTTCTCCTAATCCCTAGCCCCACACGGTTTTTAACACAGATGTTCTGATTAGTGAGATGCTGATTCAAAGCACCCTCTGAAGATTTCTGGAGTTCCCTCCTGTGCAACTCTCTTCTCTCCAGAACTCTATTCTCTGTGGACTATCAACCCTGTCTCCTCAACTCAAGTACTCTGCCAGGCTCTGCCTAGTTTTCTCCATTTTTTTTCTGCCACTGCTTGGAAACTCCCTCAAGGCAGTAAGCTGGAGCAATCATAGGGCTCACCTCCTTTGTTTTCCATCTCTACCTGAAGTCCAGTGTCATGACAACCACTGTTTCATAAATTTTGTCTTAATTTTAGAAAGTATGTTAAAAAGGACAACCCTAAATAAGAATGATACAATGGATTTTGGAGACTTGGGGGAAAGAGTGGGAGAGTGGCGAGGGATAAAAGACTACAAATATGGTGCAGTGTATACTGCTTGGGTAATGGGTGCACCAAAATCTCACAAATCACCACTAAAGAACTTATGTAACCAAATACCACCTGTACCCCAATAACTTATGGAAAAATTAAAAAAATAAAAATTCAAGAAAGGACAACCCTAAATAGTCAAATAGCAAAAGAGGTATGCAACTTTGTCACTGGACACAAAATTATTTTAAAGTGGGTTTGCTGCTAGACATTTACTTTTGTGAAGACATAGACTTCACACAATTTTCTAGCTTTTGTAAAAATGATCTGCGATTATAGTGCTGACAGTAGAAGTCTGAGAAATATATGAACTTATCATTATTTGAGTATATACTCTTATACTTTTGTCACAATTTACTTGAGTCAAATATCTGATTTGAGAAAAGGAGCCTGGCTATGCTCCCAGAATCTCATTTTAGAACATCAAGCTCTTTTAGAAATATCTCTTTTATTCTTTTCTTTAACACATTGCTTTTGGTCCATAATATCTGCTGATAATGCTAGATAGCCAACACATTCATTAATTTGACATCAGTTTAGTATATTTCAGTAGATTTTTAATATATGTGAAATACAGAATGGTAATTTGAGGCACTCCCTATTGCCTGTCATATGTGTATATAATGAACCTGATTTTGATATTTAATAATGAGTTATTTTAGTTGCAAAATTCACACCTCTTTTCATATGTTTTACACAAAATTTATAAATAAGCTTATGAGAAATAAGACATCAATTAAGGTGATAAATTATGCATCAATAATTATAGAAAAATGTTAGTTTAAAAACATCTTGATTTTAAGTACTTCTGTATTTATACATGTAAAGTGCTTATAACAGGGTCTGGAATGTAATGAGTCAATGGTAAAAAATTAAGTGATTTCTTCCTACTTGAATTATATTTTGAGATAAGCATGATTTGAGGGTAACTAAAGTAATGATTCTAATTTTGTAAGCAACAGGATCCTTGCATTGATGATACATTGCATTTATTTACATCAGTCAATATTTGACTTAAGATGAGATAATAGTGAGCCACATGGCCACGTGGAGGCTTTTAATCTCTCTCACTCTTTATTAGTAGTTTTTCCATTTTAATTCCTGATTCTGTGTTAGAACTGTCATTCAAAATGGATGCTGGGTAAGGAAGAATGAAGAGACAGGGAGTTGTGAGCAAAGAGGAGGATGTGAAATGGGTTAGAGGAGGGGGCAAAAGACTGGAGAACAGGTATGTAAAGCAGGAAGAACATTTGTATGGAGGAGGTAAGGTAGCAGTACAAAACTGGGATTCATTTGTTAATATTAACTTTGTCCAAGACTTTTCAGGGTCAGTGTTTTCCCTGGAAATACATTTGGGAGAAAAAGAACCAATAGAATTTTTTTTTGGGTAATATTATTGTGTTAATATTTATTGAATATCTTAGTTACACTAGGATGTTATTATTAACTTCATTCTGTAATGATTGAAGTTAATTTGGGTAATTTGAGCAAGGCTCCATAAACAATTACTGACAGTTACAAACCTAGGTATAATTATTAATTTCAGATGAATGTGTATATTGTAACATCTTTTCTATGCTGGCTTATGGGATTTATGCTCTATTTTAAAAATAGTTTTAGATATTTTTATTTTTTCTAACTTTTCTTTTAGATCTTTGCTTTTAGGGGTACATGTGCAGATTTGTTACCTGGGTGTATTGTGTGATGCTGAGGTTAGGGGTATGAATGATCCTGTTACCCATATACTGAGCATAGCACCCAATAGTTCATTTTTCAAACCTTTCCCTGTCCCTCCTCACTCTAGTAGTCCCTAGTTTCTATTGTTGCCATCTTCATGTACATAAGTATCCACTGTTTAGCACCTACCTATAACTGAGAACACGTGGTATTTGGTTTTCTGTTCCTGCATTAATTGGCTTTGGATAATAGTCTCCAGAGGCATCCATTTGCTTCAAAGGACATTATTTTGTTCTTTTTTATAGCTGCATAGTATTCCATGGTACACAAGTACCACATTTTGTTTATCCAATCCACTGTTAATGAGCACCTAGGTTGATTCCCTGTCTTTGCTATTGTGAATAGTACTACAATGAAGATTAACTCAAGATGGATTAAATATTTAAATGTAAGAATTCAAACTGTAAGAGTCCTAGAAGAAAACCTAGGGCATTCTGGACACTGGCCTTGGGAAAGAATTTATGACTAGGTTATTAAAAGCACTTACAACAAAAACAAAAATTGACAAGTGGGACCTGATTAAAGATCTTCTGCACAGCAAAAGAGACTATCAATAGAGTGAACAGACAACCTACAGAATGGGGGAAAATATTCACAAACTATGCAGCCAATAAAGGTCTCATATTCAGAATCTACAAGGAACTTAAACAATTGAACAAGCAAAAAACAAATAGCCTTATTAAAAATGGGCAAAAAGACATGAACAGACATTTCTCAAAAGAAGACATACAAGTGGCCAATAAACTTATGAAAAAATGCACCACATCACTCATCATCGGAGAACTGCAAATCAAAACCACAATGAGATACCATCTCACACCAGTCAGAATGGCCATTATGAAAAAGTCAAAAAATAACAGATGCTGGAGAGGCTGTGGAGAAAAAGGAACACTTATACACTGTTAGTGGGAGTGTAAATTTGCTCAGCCACTGGGAAAAGCAGTTTGGAGATTTCTCAGATAACTCAGAACTACTATTTGACCCAGCAATCTCATTACTGGGTATGTATCCAAAAGGAAACAAATATTTCTACCCATAGAATCTTAAAGTTGAAAAGAATTGTGAAGTCTGACAGATAAAAGCAATTTAAACAGGCAAGAATAGTTTGCTATGGATGTGGTGGGAAAATTTGTACAAAAAAAGCAAATAATTCAATAACAGCCCCATTCGTTGAGCCCATACTATATAAAAGTCATCTATATTTATAAACTATAACTAAGATGCAGTACTTTTTAAAATAAACCTTCTTATCTTTTATTGGTAAAGCAGATAACATGTTATTAGTAATGTGGTTATTAGGGACATGAATAGTTTTCTTTCTAGAAACAATATTGGTGTGATTCCAAAGAACAGGAATCTACTCAATAGCATTATCAAAATATAGTCATTGAAAACCTGGAACTTCTATTCCATTTTTGGACAGTTGTAGGGCTACAGACTCTTTTTTATGCTGAACCTAATTATGCCTCTTTTCTGTTCATTCATTGCAGCTCGGTTCTTTGGAGTGAAACAGAATAAGCCTCACCCATTTTAGGTATTTGAAGAAAGCTGTGCATCCATATAAGTCTTCCTCATATGGCATGGCTCCTTTCCCCTCACATTCCCAATTATCTCTTCAAATGCAGAATTAATTGTCAAGATCTATTGAGAATAGAGATAAAAAAGACATATAAAATGTGCTTGCTACCATTAAAGTACCTATGATATATTGGTTTTTTTCCCAGTTCATGTCATGTACCTTTATGCCCAACAGATATGACAGATTAACAACTGCAAAAGAGGGATTCTAACAGGTAAAACCAAATTAAGTGGCCTGGTGAGTTCTGAGTGTCAGTGAAAGTTTGGTTGCAGCATGTGTTTTCCAAGGCATGTACATCCCATTAGAAAAAAGATTCCAGTAAACTAATTCATTCAAAAATGATTTTATTCATCCATTCATTCTTAAAACATTTCTCAAGATGTGTTTTGGGGACCACTCTACTGAAGAAAAATTTTCTGTGGTTAAGTAAACTCTGCAGATTCTATTGCTCTTTTAAGATTTACTGCAATAATTTTCATGTAAAGGTTTCTGACCAATTGTTTAGTAAAGAAACTCTTTGAATATTGTTTAAGTCAGCTATTCCAAAATTAAAAAAAATTGTTTTGCTACGAAAAATTTTGTGTGTAAAATTCATTAACTTCTTGTGGAACACATTTTGGAAAACACTATCTTAGAACATTCAGCCTCAGAATTGACTGGACTTTTTATTCTGAACTTTTGTTTTTTGAGATGGAGTCTCGCTCTGTCATGTAGGCTGGGGTGCAGTGGCATGATCTCGGCTCACTGCAGCCACCACCTCCTGGGTTCAAGCGATTCTCCTGCCTCAGCCTCTAAAGCAGCTGGGACTACAGGCACCTGCCACCATGCCCAGCTAATTTTTGTATTTTTAGTAGAGACGGGGTTTCACCATGTTGGCCAGGCTGGTCTCAAACTCCTGACTTTAAGTGATATGCCTGCCTCAGTCTCCCAAAGTGCTGGGATTACAGGCATGAGCCACCATGCCCAGCCAATTTTTTTTTTATTTTTTGTGGCTACATAGTAGATGTGTATATTTATGGAGTACATGAGATGTTTTGATACAGGCATGCAATGCATAATAATCACATCTTGGAGAATTGGGTATTCATCCCCTGAAGCACTGATCATTTGTGTTACAAATGATCCAATTATACTCTTCTGGTTATTTTAAAATGTACAATTATTATTGACTTACTTACCCTGTTGTGCTATCAAATAATAGGTCTTATTCATTCTTTCTATTTTTTTGTACCCATTAACCATCCCCACGTCCCCTTCACCCCTTCACCCCTTCACTACCCTTCCTGCCTCTGGTACCATCCTTCCACTCTCCATGAGTTCAATTGTCTTTATTTTTAGAGCCCACAAATAAGTGAGAACATGCTGTATTTGTCTTTGTATGCCTGGCTTGTTTTACTTAACATAATGAGCTCCAGTTCCATCCGTGTTGTTGCAAATGCCAGGATCTCATAGTTTTTATGGCTGAATAGTACTCCCTTGTGCGTATGTACCACATTTTCTTTATCTATTCATCTGTTGATGGAAACAGATTGCTTCCAAATCTTAGCTATTGTGAACAGTGCTGCAACAAACATGGGAGTACAAATATCTCTTCAATATATCGATTCCTTTTGGGTTATTTTAAACATTTCAGTGTGAGTATAACCATTTCATAAAAAGTGATTCTTGCAGGAAAACTGAGTAGCACCTGAACTTGACTCCAGTTTCTACTGAGGATTTAATCACAAAATCCTGAGTGGGGAGCTAAGTGAGGTGTAAGGAACAGAGGAAATGAGAATAGTGTACTGGCACGTGATATTGAGGGAAATCCAATAAGGAGCTAGACGGTGGGAAAATAATAAAACTGGAAGAAACCTTGAGGAATTTTTGTCTCTATGCCCTCTTTTCTTTAATTAAAACAAGATTTATTAAACAATCATTCATCACGAATGTGTTCTGATTAGAGTATTTATAGAGATTACTAAGGAGAAGGAGATATAAATGGAGACAAATTCCTAGTGCCAAAAATCTTATAATTTAGCTAAAATGACAAGCTATATATCCACAAAATAATCAGATAATAATATAAGGCAGGACGTAATTAGTTGTTGAGTGGCTCAGGTTATAAATACTCTGGAGTGAAGAGAAGAAAATTATCTTTGTGAATGGAGTTAGAGAAGGTTTTCTATTTTTAAGGACTCCTAAAAAAGGAGAGTTTCAACTTATCTTAGTAACCAGTGTTACAGGAGAATAACTGTCTCAAAGTCCTTTATGTTTAACAGTTACTTCTTTTTGTGGTTTATACAGACTTTTCTTCGTTGGATATCAGTGGAAATGGAAAAAGTACATCTCTCAATACATTAGTTACACTGCTGCTAGGAGAATATCTTCATGGGGACATCATTACAATTCTTTCCTGTTACCAGAAGGTTTTACATAACATTTAGGTAAACAACCTATATGTCTGCAATTCAGTGATAGCATTTGAAATATAAGATAACTTCAGGAAGCAGTTGGGAAAACTAGGAGATTTATGATAAAAAATAAATAAAAGATAGAATAAAATCTAACAAAAGCAATTCAATGCAAGCTTCAGAAGGAAAAGAGTTTAGGGAATATGTATTTGAGTAATAGAAGAAGACAAAAAAAAAAAGACACAGGAAGCAGGTTCATAAGATAGGGAATGGCTAAGATTAATAGATGGAAACCAGACAGCAAGATGGGTCAGGAGAGAGAAATAGTCACCTGGGGATAAATACAGCAGCAGATAAGAAGGAATGGAAATACTGGATAGGGGGTTTAGTTCCTATCTTGGAAAGACAGAGGGGAGAAATGACTAGTCACTTTAAACAGTTTAAAAATGATATACTTCTCCTTTTTTTGAAAGGGTTATTTATGTAATTTGTAAATGCTAAAGTAGACCTTTAAAAAACACTGGCATCACTCTCCATGTTATTTTTAAATACCTTTTCATTTATTAAGCACAATTAAGCTATCAACCCCTCTGTTTTAACTCTGCAGAATGCAGTCCCCACAGCCAGAAGCGCAGTGTATTAGAAATATCATGAACAATTCTGAACTTGCACAAAATATAATTGGCCAATTTTGAGACATTGTTTTGCACGGTATGGTGCATCTCATACATTTTTCATATAGAGGCAATGCATTTTATGAGACACACAATAAGCATATGGAAATACATGCATTCTCAGGAGGCTGAGAAGAGCAGTCGGAGGGGGATGGGAGACCAAGAACTGAGCTGAGATGCGTGACAAGATTTGTGAGCTCTGAAATTTGACAAGCTTGGAAAAACTATTCTAGGCAGGCTTTCCAAGGCACTTACAATTCTAATTATATCTGCTACACTCCATTTTTTTCCTTGCTATAATTTCCTTATTGGTTTTAATTAAGTGCTTTTAATGTCTAATAAGAAGGCAGTGGAACAAGGAGGGTGAGAATTTGCTTACCAGACAAGTTGTGCCTTGTCCTCACTAATTTTATGCCCTACCCAACCTGTGCCTTGGCTAATCTTTTATATGATTACCTACATTTGTACTAATTGAAGCTTTTTCATTCTCTTATTTTGCTAATTCTATAAATTAAGGCTCTACTTAAATGTTGTCAAGTTCAATCAATACCCTCTTTTGAGTAGTATTCGGGGTAAATTGATAATCTTTTGTTGATTGACATGTGGGAGTATTAAAAATGACTGATGCAGCTTGAAAGTATCATGCAGGGAATACTGAGCCACCACTGAAATATAGCGGGGGAAAGACTGCAGTGGAGGGTGAGCTCATGTTTGTGTAGACAGACTTGGGTCTGGGATGTAGAAGGAGCACACTGCTCCATTCACTTGAGCAGAAGCTGAGTCAGCACTTGCTGACCACAGTGTTTGGTACAAAGCACATTTGTAGTAATTTCAGAATAACATTTGAAAATTTAAAGCTGAACATAAAGAAGTTATAGCATTTAATTTGTACAACTCAATTCTATTAGAAAAGAAGGGAGTTCTTTTTATTCATTATATATTTTTAATTTAATATATATTATTCAATATATATTAGGCACCTTCTGTGTTTAAGGAACAGGAACTGAATGTAGAATGGATGGAATAAAAGCACCTCAAAAGGTTGACTTTCTGTTAGGGAAGAGAGAATATGTATAGAAATAAGAACGATCCAAAACATCCACTCTTTCTTTCTTCATTAAACATTGATTAACTGACTACTATGTGTCGGGTATTACGCTAGAGGATGAGGCCATGAAGATGAAGAATGCACAGTATTTGTTTTCAAAGGATTTAGTGACTAAGACAGGGGGACAGACATGTAAATAATGGTAGTCACAATGGAATGACTTCTATTATATAGTTATATGCAAGAAATTCTCAGAACCCTGAGAAAGAAGTACTGAACTCTACAAGGTGTCAGGCTAGGCTTACCTGGAGGAAGACAAATGGTCCTGGTGGTTTGAATCTCTAGTGCCAGTTACTTCTCACTCTGAAGTGTTAGATTATGTGAGCAAATAAAAAATTCGTCTTCTATTTTTATCTAAACAAGTTTGGGTTGAATTTCTAACACTTATAGTCAAAAGAATCTTGTAAGATTCAGAGCCAGATAGAACCTTGTATGCATTGTAGCAAAAGTATTTGGAGAGATAATTAGGAGCCATAGGAGGATACTTGTTTTGTTTTTTAACCAGAAAGATTACTTCATTGATTACTTCATTTGCATTTAAATATCTTCTTGCACATTTTCAGTTATCTCCCTTAAATTTATTTCTACCATCTTATTTTGTGTTTTCTATTTACTACATTTTTAAATTTTCTCTGAGTTTTACTGGATTGATTACATTTTCATCATTCTCTATTTTCCCTTTAGTTATTTGGAAGTTAAATATTCTATTCTTTTTGTGATTACTATAGCATTTTTTAAATTTTATTTTGTGAGACAGAGTCTTGCTCTGTTGCCCAGGCTGAAATGCAGTGGCACGATCTCCGCTCACTGCAACCTCCACCTCCCGGGTTCAAGCGATTCTCCTACCTCAGCCTCCCGAATAGCTGGGATTACAGGTGCCCGCCATAATGCCCTGCTAATTTTTGTATTTTTAGTAGAGATGGGGTTTCATCATGTTGACCAGGCAGGTCTTGAACTCCTGGCTACAAGTGATCCACCCACCTCAGCCTCCCAAAGTGCTGGGATTAGAGGCACGAGCCACCATGCCCAGCCAACTATTGAGTTTTTTAATATTTAATACTGCATCAAGTGTTAAGTAAAAATTGATCAATATCACTATCCTTCTAATCAATACACATATTTTAATGCTATAATTTCAATCGCCACTCCTTTCCATATCCAAAATTGTTGCTTGGCATTGTGTTTAGTGCCCTTCCCATTAGTCATTATTACTGTTACTGTACTTACATCCTACCCTTGTGTAGGTTTACTACAGATTTATACATTTTATTGTTTGATAATTTGTCTTTAACGTGCTATTTTCTTCTGGACTTATTTTCTTCATTTTGAAGGGTATGTATACTTAAGCAGTTATTTTAGCTATTTGGTGTAGTAAAATTTCTAAGTCTCTGTTTGGAAAAGTCTTTATTTGACCTCAGATTTGAAGAATCGTTTGGTTTGAGCAGGATTTGGGGATGACAGAATCTTATCTTTTTGCCCCATTTACACCCATTCTTTTCTTTTTTTAATTATACTTTAAGTTCGAGGGTACCTGTGCACAATGTGCAGGTTTGTTACATATGTATACATGCGCCATGTTGGTGTGCTGCACCCATTAACTCATCATTTACATTAGGTATATCTCCTAAAGCTATCCCTCCCCCCTTCCCCCAGCCCATGACAGGTCCCAGTGTATGATATTCCCCATCCTGTGTCCAAGTGTTCTCATTGTTCAATTCCCACCTATGAGTGAGAACATGTGGTGTTTGGTTTTCTGTCCTTGCGATAGTTTACTCAGAATGATGGTTTCCAGCTTCATCCCTGTCCCTACAAAGGACATGAACTCATCATTTTTTATGGCTACATAGTATTCCATGGTGTATATGTGCCACATTTTCTTAATCTAGTCTATCACTGATGGACATTTGGGTTGGTTCCAAGTCTTTGCTATTGTGAATAGTGCTGCAATAAACATATGTGTGCATGTGTCTTTATAGCAGCATGATTTATAATCCTTTGGGTATATACCCAGTAATGGGATGGCTGGGTCAAATGGTATTTCTAGTTCTACATCCCTGAGGAATTGCCACACTGTCTTCCACTATGGTTGAACTAGTTTACAGTCCCACCAACAGTGTAAAAGTGTTCCTATTTCTCCACATCCTCTCCAGCACCTGTTGTTTCCTGACTTTTCAATGATTGCCATTCTAACTGGTGTGAGATGGTATCTCATTGTGGTTTTGATTTGCATTTCTCTGATGGCCAGTGATGATGAGCATTTTTTCATGTGTTTTTTGGCTGCATAAATGTCTTCTTTTGAGAAGTGTCTGCTCATATCCTTTGCTCACTTTTTGATGGGGTTGTTTGATTTTTTCTTGTAAATTTGTTTAAGTTCTTTGTAAATTCTGGATATTAACCCTTTGTCAGATGAGTAGATTGCAAAAACCTTCTCCCATTCTGTAGGTTGCCTGTTCACTCTGATGGTAGTTTCTTTTGCTGTGTGGAAGCTCTTTAGTTGAATTAGATCCCATTTGTCAATTTTGGCTTTTGTTGCCATTGCTTTTGGTGTTTTAGACACGAAGTCCTCGCCCATGCCTATGTCCTGAATGGTAATGCCTAGGTTTTCTTCTAGGGTTTTTATGGTTTTAGGTCTAACGTTTAAGTCTTTAATCCATTTTGAGTTAATTTTTGTATAAGGTGTAAGGAAGGCATCCAGTTTCAACTTTCTACATATGGCTGGTCAGTTTTCCCAGCACCATTTATTAAATAGGGAATCCTTTCCCCATTTCTTGTTTTTGTCAGGTTTGCCAAAGATCAGATAGTTGTAGATGTGTGGTATTATTTCTGAGGGCTCTATTCTGTTCCATTGGTCTAGATCTCTGTTTTGGTACCAGTACCATGCTGTTTTGGTTACTGTAGCCTTGTAGTATAGTTTGAAGTCAGGTAGCGTGATATCTCCAGCTTTGTTCTTTTGCCTTAGGATTGTCTTGGCAATGAACGCTCTTTTTTGGTTCCATATGAACTTTAAAGTAGTTTTTTCCAATTCTGTAAAGAAAGTCATTGGTAGCTTGATGGGGATGGCATTGAATCTATACATTACCTTGGGCAGTATGTCCATTTTCACGATATTGATTCTTCCTATCCATGAGCATGGAACGTTCTTCCATTTGTTTGTGTCCTCTTTTATTTCATTGAGCAGTGGTTTGTAGTTCTCCTTGAAGAGATCCTTCATATCCCTTGTAAGTTGGATTCCTAGGTATTTTATTCTCTTTGAAGCAATTGTGAATGGGAGTTCACTCATGATTTGGCTCTCTGTTTGTTTGTTATTGGTGTATAGGAATGCTTGTGATTTTTGCACATTGATTTTGTATCCTGAGACTTTGCTGAAGTTGCCTATCAGTTTAAGGAGATTTTGGGCTGAGACGATGGGGTTTTCTAAATATACAATCATGTCATCTGCAAACAGGGACAATCTGACTTCTTCTTTTCCTAATTGAATACCCTTTATTTCTTTCTCCTGCCTGATTTCCCTTGCCAGAACTTCCAACACTATGTTGAATAGGAGTGGTGAGAGAGGGCATCCCTGTCTTGTGCCAGTTTTGAAAGGGAATGCTTCCAGTTTTTGCCCATTCAGTATGATATTGGCTGTGGGTTTGTCATAAATAGCTCTTATTATTTTGAGATATATCCCATCAATATCTAATGTATTGAGAGTTTTTAGCATGAAGAGCTGTTGAATTTTGTCAAAGGTCTTTTCTACATCTATTGAGATAATCATGTGGGTTTTGTCCTTGGTTCTGTTTATATGCTAGATTACGTTTATTGATTTGCATATGTTGAACCAGCCTTGCATCCCAGGGATGAAGCCCACTTGATCATGGTGGATAAGCTTTTTGACATGCTGCTGGATTTGGTTTGCCAGTATTTTATTGAGGATTTTTGCATCGATGTTCATCAGGAATATTGGTCTAAAATTCTCTCTTTTTGTTGTATGTCTGCCAGGCTTTGGTATCAGGATGACGCTGGCCTCATAAGATGAGTTAGGGAGGATTCCCTCTTTTTCCGTTGATTGGAATAGTTTCAGAAGGAATGGTACCAGCTCCTCCTTGTACCTCTGGTAGAATTTGGCTGTCAATCCGTCTGGTCCTGGACTTTTTTTGGTTGGTAGGCTATTATTGCCTCAATTTCAGAGCCTGTTATTGGTCCAGTCAGAGATTCAACTTCTTCCTGGTTTAGTCTTGGGAGGGTGTATGTGTCGAGGAATTTATCCATTTCTTCTAGATTTTCTAGTTTATTTGCGTAGAGGTGTTTATAGTATTCTCTGATGGTAGTTTGTATTTCTGTGGGATCGGTGGTGGTATCCCCTTTATCATTTTTTATTGTGTCTGTTTGATTCTTCTCTCTTTCTTCTTTATTAGTCTTGCTAGCAGTCTATCAATTTTGCTGATCTTTTCAAAAAACCAGCTCCTGGATTCATTGATTTTTTGAAGGGTTTTTTCTGTCTCTATCTCCTTCAGTTCTGCTCTGATCTTAGTCATTTCTTGCCTTCTGCTAGCTTTTGAATGTGTTTGCTCTTACTTCTCTAGTTCTTTTAATTGTGGTGTTAGGGTGTCAATTTTAGATCTTTCCTGCTTTCTCTTGTGGGTATTTAGTGCTATAAATTTCTCTCCACACACTGTTTTAAATGTGTCCCAGAGATTCTGGCATGTTGTTAGACCCATTCTTTACCCTTCCATATCCTGCTCACTGCTCAAGAAGCTGATCTGTGTAGACTGAATGAACAATTTCTTTGACTTCTGGTTGGGTAAAGCAATAGTAGATTCTGGCAGAAACTGGTTGGAGGGAGGAGAATGGGAATGGGGTATTTATTTCCTTTACTTCTCTCTGGGGGCTTACTTTAGGTTGGTTGCATCCCTTAACTAAAGGCTAAAACTACCAAATAGGTAGCCTTCCCCATCAACTTTCTGCAGGTCCCAGTAAGTGACCCCCTTTTGTTTCTTTAAGCTTAGGAGTTGTACCATTTCCAGCTGTTATTAACCCTGGGGTATCATATCATTCTTGTTGCTTTTTCTAAAACCTGCCCTTACCTTTGCAGCTAGTCCCTGTATTGAACTTGCTTCAATTATCGAGCTTGAGTGAGCCAATTTCTTCCTGCTGGTTATCATTGTTATTTTTCCTTTAGCGTTTTACAAACCTTTGTTCATTATTTTCTGGCTTCTATTATTATTAGAGAGAAGCATGCTGGCAGTCTAACTATTATTCCTTTTTAGGTTATCTGTCTTTTCTCTTTGATTGCTACTATGATTTTTTTATGATGTCACTGGTGTTTTGGAATCTCACCAATAAAAGCCAGAATGGTTTTTATTTATGCCACTAGATATGCTTCTTAAATTTTAGAATTCATGTGTTTTGTTTGGTGACAGTCTCTCTGAGTCTCAGTCTTAAATTTGAGGATTCATGCCTTTTGTCAGTCTCACAAGTTTCTTAGTTATTATCTTTTCAAAGGTGACCTCTCTGTCATTCTGCTTATTCTCTCCTCTTGTAATTCCTATTATATATGCTGAACCTTCTCATTCTATTCTCCAGATAGATCTTATTTTAACCTTTCTTTGCTATTTTCTGTCTCTTCATTTCTTTGTGCTCCTTTATGCATAATTTCCTTGGAGCCATTTTCTCATTCACTAATGATTTCTTCAGCTGCATATAACATACTATTTCCTCAGTTCATTGAGCTTTTACTTCAATGACTAAATTTTTCATCTTGATGTTATAAATGTTCTTTTCCAAATTGTCCATCATTTTATATTTCCATTTTCTTTTTCTTTATATTTTTTCTTCTTTCACCTCCTTAATAGTTTTAAGGCAGTAGTTTTATTTTGTAGCTGCTCCCAGATTGTTATTTTATGCTATATTCTTCGTAGTGTGAATCTCTCTGTTATGTCTACAACTTTTCTTAGCAAATCCCGTCCTCCTGTGCTGTAAGCTCATCTTCATAACATAATGTTTATTTTTGAGAGGTCTCATGCTTGCTGAGTGGTGAAATGGTGACTATAGGGTTATTTTGTCTTTGCTTCTGTTAGATGCTCCAAGGGTTTCATTGACATAGAAGTAATATTTATATCAAAATACCATCAACTTGCAGATTTCTTCAGGCTTCAGGTTCTGTAATACTGTGTTCCACTCCAGTGTGTGTTAAAGGCCTGAAATTTCAGTTTCTCCTGGAAGACTTATATCTCCACAGAGAATCTTGAGCAGATTTCATCTACCTTGACAATTCCCAAGAGCTGGTGACAGTCTCTTCTGAGTCCCAGCTACAAATCGCAGTTCCAGATCCTCACCTTGCATGACCTCAAGGCTATGTTTTCTGTCCTTCTACTCCTTATGTCCAAATGGTCCCAATGTACCACCAGGCCATGTTACTATTTTAGCTGAGTGTTCTGGCTTTGGATCCTGCTTTGTTTCTGGTTTCCTTTTTTTCTTTTGAGCTCAGCTATGTATTAAAATATTTTGTTGAATTTGATTTATTATTTATATATGCTTGTAAAGAGGAGGATATTTTCTCTTCTATGCTCTATGCTGCTTAATCATGACATCTTTTAAAAAGCAGGACACTTTTTAAACAAGGGCTTAAGATGGTCTATTTTGTCTTCCAAAGAGATCTGTGCTTAAAAGAACACATGAGAGTTGGAAAAAAGATAGGGATATGGGTGCAGATTTGAGTAACATTCATGTTGCATAAATAGGCTTCTTCGAGGGACTCAAGACTAAGCACTTGGTGAGAATTTGTTGTGGTGATGGCAGTTTGGTTTGAGTATTTTAGTGGACCATGGTGCTGTTAATTGGAATCAGGAACAGGGAAAATTCACATATTCTGGTGCTTGCACGGTATATAGGTAGAAAAGTCCAGAAAGCAGCTGAATATGTAGGTCAAGAGTTCCGCTCTGGAGATAAATGGGAAACTTAATTTTATAGCTGGAAGTTGGAAACATGGCAGTAGATTAAATTATACGAGAAGGTGTGTAGGAGTAGAGCTGGTATAATGAGTAGTATTAATTTAACAATTAAGGGTAGTACAATGAGTACTATTAACATAATGAGTACAGAATAGAATGACATTTATGAGGTGAATCAAGAAAGACACTCTCAAAGAACACTGATATTCCTTGCAAACGAAAGGACAGTTAATCTAGGAATTGTGAACAATAAAGATCTTAAAGATGTTAAAATGGAGGATGATCAATGCTGCTGTAGATCAATAAGGAAAGGAAGTCAGAACATGATAATTATCATGAAAGGAGATGAGTTGCTTATATTCAGGTGAAAAACAGTGGGCCTCCTGTTTGAGACAGAGACACGAGGTGGCCTTTAAGGATACATCTCCAACCACCAAGGCCTACAGAGGAAGTGGTAGATCATATCTCGGATGATATAGGCTGGTGTTCCTATTCATCCAATGCCAGGTGATTGGCAATTGTTCTTGTTATTAGGATGTGTTCTTTACTTCACCATCTACATCATTTAGCTAGCCAGACCAAAACAGAAATTATTGTAAGGTAGTATCTGACTCAGGAAGGAGTGTTTCTCCAAATACAGCCAATTTGGGAACCTAGGCCTTATGGTTGCTCTCAAACGATCAAGTAGCAAAATTGTGGTGTTCAGTCAGACGGATGATAAAGCTCTTTCACAGAAAATGCCCTAGAGTCAATTGCCTCTGAACAGTCAAGGAAACATTTTTCAGGTCTTACTACTTTCGCATAATAGTTTAGCTTTAAAGCAAACTGAAAGCTGCTTTCTTCTCAGTCTCAATTAGAGCTCTCTTCTCTACCCATCCCCTACCCTGCGAACTCTAGGTGCCTGGGGCCCTGCAGACATTCAGCAGTGTCTCCTCAACTCAAGGAGACTGTTGGACTCAGCCAGGTTTCCTTCCCTGCCCTGCAGCCTGGAAATGCTCTCCAAGCAGCAAGCTGGGGCAGACATAGGGCCCATCTCTCAAAGATCACTGTCATTTGTTACCTGAAGTCCTATGTTTTAAGAACCTACTTTTTTATATTCTTGGCCTATTATTTTCAGTGTTTCTGATGGGAGGGTATATCAGACCCCTGTTAGTTCTTCTTGGGTAGAATTATAAGTTGATTTTATTTATTTTTAGCGAATTATTTTTCCTTGTCTCAATAAAAATTTAAGAAATCCATTAGGATGGATATAAAAGTGTTTATTTTAGAGCCATGATCAGCAGAATCTCCTGGAAAATAGAGTCTTTCTGATTGTGTTTTCTGTTACAAAACAGCATTCTGGCCGGGTGTGGTGGATCAAGCCTGTAATGCCAGCAATTTGAGAGGCTGAGGCAGGCGGATCACTAGAGGTCAGGAGTTCGAGACCAGCCTGGCCAACATGGCAAAACCCCATCTCTACTAAAAATACAAAAAAATTAGCTGGGCTTGGTGGTGTATGCCTGTAATCCCAGCTACTCGGGAAGCTGAGGCATGAGAATTGCCTGAATCCAGGAGGCAGAGCTTGCAGTGAGCTGAGACCACGACGCCATTGCACGCCAGCCTCAGTGACAGAGTGAGGCTATGTCTCCGAAAAAACCAAAAAACACAAAAAACCCCAAAACAGCATTCAAACAGCTAAGACTTCAGTTTAATGAATTGACTCAAGCAGGATAAATCTGACTTGCATTTAACTGGCTAAAATAGCTGAAATTAATAAAAAGTTGAAAATTTTGGAAGGGCATTTTCTTAGACCACTGGTGATGGTCATCATAGTTGTTTTTCAGTTGTAGAATCAAAAGTTTGTATAAAATAGGCCATTAGAACTGAGAAAAAAAATAAGAATACAGAAATACTATGAGGACCAGGACATTATTTTGTTCCTCACTGTATTCTCAGGCCTGACAATAATTGTCTAGTAGATTGTAGTGCTCAATAAATATGTGTAAAATAAAGAATGGGCAGCCAGGTGCAGTGGCTCACACCTGTAATCCCAGCACTTTGGGAGGCCAAGGCGGGTGGATCATGAGGTCAAGAGTTTGAGACCAGCCTGGCCAATATGGTGAAACCTTGTCTCTGCTAAAAAATACAAAAATTAGCCAGGCGTGGTGGCAAGCACCTGTAGTCCCGGCTACTCAGGACGTCAGGGCAAGAGAATCGCTTGAGCCTGGGAAGCAGAGGTTGCAGTGAGCCAAGATCGTGCCACTGCACTTCAGCCTGGGCGACAGAATGAGACTCCATCTCAAAAAATAAAAAAATTAAAAAAAAAGAATGAGTGTGAGAATTAACGCTGACTCCTTGAAGGCAGGGACTGTGTTTATTTTGCTGAATTTATAACACCTAGTTTTGGGTATGGCATCTTGTACTCAAGGAACACTGTATTAGTTGGATTAATAAATGAATAAAATTCCATGGGCTACAGATAATACCTCATAGCTTAAAAAATGTATTTTCAGTTCTGGAAATTTTTAGTCTCTATATCACTAAGAAGTTATACTAAAAAATGGGAGGAAATCCAAATAAATGATGACATGGCCGTCATGGAGTTTAAACTTAATCTTTTCCAATCTGGTAATGAAAAAATTTATGTTGAAAATATGAATTGTACTGCAAAAGCTAGACAAGTGAAAAAGTTTATCTGTTGGAAATCCTTTTTTCCATTTCTGGTTGAAACTCATTCCATGGAGAAGGAACGGTAAGATATGCCAAAAAGCAGACACAGGCATTTAAAGAGAAAGGAAAATTAGTGACCACGTACCACAAATCACCACTGGAACAATGAAGACTCACAACATCAGAAGGATGTTCTAGACACAAGATGCTGCGGAGCCAAGAGCATCTTTATACCTCAGGGGAAGAAAAGGCAGCGAGTTCCTGTGTCTTCCCCCTCCCCCCTCCACAAGGCTGTTTCATCCTAAGCTCTTTGCTCATTGCAAATAGGAGTGCTCGGTTTTCTTCATGCTTTTCAAAGCCAGTTGTGGTATAAGCGAGGGCCTCTTAATTCTCCCAGGCCAGAATGGAGGCCTAACCGAAATTGGCAAGCGAGGATGCAGAGAGGGAGCAGGCCAAGTAAACAGTACCCTACAAACAGCCTTTTCACTAGTCTTGTTCCCATTGAGGACATGCGAGAGGCTACATGTGTACCCCATCAAGAAGGATGAAAAACTCAAACTACCACAAGACTGCCCCACATTAATTTTGCTAATGCTAATTTTGTCATTGGGCGTTTAAATCTTATGATTCACTGATGTTGGACCCCAGCTATTGGTGGAGATACCTATGGACAGTTAAGTTGAAAAACAACTGCCCCCAGCCTCCCTTCCCTTGTGCCTGCAATGCACCGCGGTCCTGTAGTGCAGCAACGGCTCTCCTTCCTTTTGTCCTTTGGACTCCTAAGTGCACAGTAAGGCCTAGTTCTTCAACGATTGGTTTGTGGGGACTTTGCCATTCCTCTATTCAGCAAAAGACAATCTCCTCTGTGTTGCAACTCTATATCTGGCGAGAGGATAGGAGGGTTGGCGCGACCAGAGCTGGCTACTAAAAGCAGGCACAGTAAAACCCCACAATGATTTGCCTCTTTTTCAGCTTGGCACATCATGTTAGAAGCTGGAATAGAGAAACGTTTGTAATGACTTGCAGTTGGGAGGAGGTTGATGGCGCTTCTGTAGAAGTCCTGTGTGCCTCCCCCCACCCCTTTCGTGGCACCGTCATGAGCCTCACTTTTGCTTTTCATATTTTAAATTCGGTCTGTACTGAACTTGCCACAGAAATAGATCTGCACTGACACTCCCACTCTCAAGCTGCCGGTGCTACAGTCACAGGTTTTGACATTGCTTGAGCCAACCCAGAAGCTAGAAAGTTGAAGCAGAATTAAAGAGGTGGCTGCATGAATAAACCCACTTCCTGGTTGGAAAACCTGGATCATATGCTATTTCCATCTCTGACACTGTTATAAATCTTTAACATCAACACTATGCTCGTCACATAGCAATTGCCTGCATGCTGAAGGTCTTGCTAAAAAAAGAGAACTGTTATACGAGACAGGCATATTTTTTGCCTAAGTGAAAGGGCACAGTAGGGATTGTCCTCACTTGCTCATCTCTACTGTGGATGCCTGGGCCCTGAAAGAGATTGACGGAACCAGTGGGTCAGGGCCAGCCTTCAGGGTGGGAGGCGGGCAACTGGGTGGCCTAGTGGGAGGTAACAGGAGGTGCTGGCAGGTGAGTGGGACTGAGCAGCCAAGGTAGAGGTCTGGCAAGGCAGCCCAAGGTGTCAGCCTGGCATCAGGAGCCTCACTCTGGGCCTGAAAACCACAGCAGCCCTTAAGCACTTGGAAGAATGCTAGGTTGAGGTAGGGAGAAAGAGAGACCCAGATTTTTGTCCCTAGAGACAATATTAGTTATTATTTCTTGAGCAACTGTCAGGAGCTAGGCATTAGGCTAGAAATGTTCTCTATACCAATAACTGTTTATATCACAACGCATTTCATTTGCTAATTCACTGTTTCATATCTCACTGGATTGCGAGTTCCTTGAGGGAAGGGCCTATGTCTTGATCACCATCAGCAGGGAACCTACAAGGGAACTTGGCCCACCATTCATTGAATAAATGAATGAATGGCCCTACATCTTTGGACAGCCCTGCAAGGAATTCTAATGCCCATGTTCTTGTTGATGAAACCAAGTCCCTGAGAGATTAAGAGGCTTGTCCAAGGTCATACACAATCACTAATGGCAACACTAAGATTTGAACTCTTTCCATTAAGCCACACTGCTCAGGGGACCAGATCAGAATTTAGGAATAATGGGCCAAGAGAGGTTCCAGATTCTGGAAATGGAGTTCAATGTGGAGATTTTTCAAAAAGGAATATCTTACTGAAGTTGAGTGAATGGTGAAAATGGAACCAGCACCAGAGGTGACAGTAGCTCCCTTAGCTGCTGTTACTACACTCCCTGTGCCCCACCCTCCTGTCCTGCCTATCCCTGCATATGCAAGAGGGGTAAGGTTGCCAGACAAAATCTAGCAGACCCAGTTAAATTTGGATTTCAGATAAACAACAAATAATTTTGTAGTATAAGTTTGTCCTATGCAATATTGCCGTTTATCTGAAATTCAAATATAACTGGCATCTTATATTTTTATTTGCTAACTTTGGCAACTCAAGGTGGGGATTGGTTTTAAGGATGCATGTGGAAATCAGGAGGAAGTTTAAACCATTTCAACACCACAAAGCTGGTTATTAATACACATGGTTCCAGCATTGCCATGACTGGGATGTTCAGTAGGGAGTGAGGAGTTCTGGGATGATAGCCCACTGGGTTCCAGATAAACAGCAGCTGTGGTGACCTCTTGTTATCTTCTCAGAAGTGAAGTTCATTGTTCCTGCTCCCTTCCCCTGTGCATCTTCCCATATCATGCTTCCCAAGAGAGGACATCTAGTTGCGTTAGTTTGTCACTATTCCATATGGAGGGTCTGGCACAGAATAGGTACTTAGTAAATATTTCTTGAATAAATAAACAAATTTCAAAATGTGTCATCTCATAAATGGTTGTATTAGTCTGTTTTCACGCTGCTGATAAAGACATACCCAAGACTGGGTAATTTATACAGGAAAAAGCACTTAATGGACTTAGTTTCACATGGCTGGGGAGGCCTCACAATCATGGTGGAAGGCAAGGAGGAGCAAGTCATGTCTTACATGGATGGCAGCATGAAATAAGAGCTGGTGCAGGGAAACTCCCCTTTTTAAAACCATCAGATCTCGTGAGATTTACTATCATGAGAACAGCTTGGGAAAGACCTGCCCTCATGATTCAATTACCTCCCACAACACATGGGCATTCAAGATGAGGTTTGAGTGGGGACACAGCCAAACCATATCAATGGTTAATCTCCCTTATGTCCAGACTATCCATGGACAACTTTGCATATTTTTAGGTCTAATCAGTTGGGGCTAGGGAATCATGATGGAAAGGCATAGTGTTTGTTTGTTTGTTTGTTTGTTTGTGGTTTTTTTTTTTTTTTGAGCCTTTTGGGCTGCTTTCTTCATAGGGAGCTGGGTGTGCAGACCATCTTGGACATGCTGGTCTATCTGGAACACATGGTCTGACCAGTACATACAGCCATGTGGTAAATGTGGCCTGTCCAGTAGGCCATCCTTAGCTATTAGCAGTCCATGAGCTCTATTGTTGTTAGAGTGATAGTATAATTTGTCATCTAAACTGAGATACCTTGATGCATAAAAGGAGATTGTATTGATAATGCCACCAGAACAACCAATATAAGCCTGAGCTATTCTGGGCAAACTGGGACATATCGACATCCTACTTTTTTTTTTTTTCATTTTAGAGACTGGGTCTGGCTCTGTTGCCCAGGCTGGTGTGCAGTGATGTGATCATAGGTCACTGCAACCTCAAACTCCTGGGCTCAAGTGGCCCTCCTACCTCAGCCTCCCAAGTAACTGGGATTACAGGCACACATCACCATGCCTGACTAATTTTTCCGCCACGTCTGGCTGATTTTGCCACCATCCCTGGCTAATTTTAAAATTATTTGTAGAGATGGGGTCTCCTGTGTTGCCTAAGCTGGTCTTGAATTCCTAGGCTCAAATGATTCTCCCAGTTTAGCCCCCCAAAGTGCTGGGATTACAGGCGTGAGTCACCATGCACAACTCTACATCTTAATTTCTGTGAATAACAAATAATACACTCTAGAATCCCCTGGATTCTATAATCTTCAAATGCCACTCTTTGGATACAAGGACCATGTTAGCCAATCAGCTGCAGTGTGCCCTTGTATTGCATTCCCTTAAGATAAGTTTATCAGGAGAGATTCTATGAAATTTGCCTCACAAATCTGATTCATATCATATTTTGCTTAGTATATTTCTGCCTCCATCACTCAATCGGAATCTCTTAAAATAAGGGTCTGTGCCACTGGCCTTTGTATTCCTGGCACCAAGCACACTTCCCTATGCTTAGAGAGTATGCTTGTATCAATCTAATAGGTTATGTTATGCTGCAATAGCAAACTACCCTAAAATTTTGGTAGCTTATGAGAAAAAAGGGTTATTTTCTTGCCTACACCAGATGTCTACCATTGGCCAGCTCGGCCTCTGCTCTACCTCCTATTTAATGTGGGACCCAGGCTGATGGAGTGGGGTTTTGTTTGTTTGTTTTGAGGCAGAGTCTCACTCTGTTGCCCAGGCTGGAGTGCAGTGGCGTGATCTTGGCTCACTGCAACCTCCGCCTCCCGAGTTTGAGCGATTCTCCTGTCTCAGCCTCTTAGTAGCTGGGATTACAGGCATGTGCCACCATCCCCAGCTAATTTTTGTATTTTTGGTAGAGATGGGGTTTCGCCATGTTGGCAAGGCTGGTCTCGAACTCCTTACTGCAGGTGATCCGCCCACCTTGGCCTCCCAAAGTGCTTGGATTACAGGCGTGAGCCACCGTGCCTGGCCTGATAGAGTGGTTTTTATCTGGAATGTTACAGATCTCACGGCAGAGGAGAAAGGGATAATATTAAGCCATGGACTCTCTCTTCGAGCTCAGAGGAGAGCGTTACTTCCACTTGCATTTCATTGCCAAAGGAAACCACACTGCCAAGTCTGCCTCCTGTGAGGAAAGGAAAAATAAATCTCTCACAGGGAAGAAGAGAAAATATTTTTGAACAAGAGTAAAAAATCTACCATAGTACCTAGTAAATGTGAATGAAATTCAACTTAGCATTATTATTTAGCTCCACACCCCAGACTTTTCTGCCATGAAGGTGGGGTGAGGTAGGATGATGTGGCTACAGGATAGGGAAGAGAGCTCACTCTTGTGTATAATATTTGCAAAGCCAATATGTATGCTCATCTTTCTGTTTTCTGTTTGGGCACATTTACACCTGGGAGCGGTGAGAAAAGCTTCAGTGCTGGATTTTCCTTGCTCATGTATAAGGATTATCCTTCTCCTTTGCCAGGGTCATGACTGGGAAGAGTCCAGCTATCCTAGCAGGAATAGTGAATAGTAACTTTCTGATTCTTCCATCTCCAGGGCTGCGTGATGTGAATTCATACTGTTCACTGACACCTGTCAGTACCTGGTACCAGGCACTGCATGGGACCTGGGAAGGATTACAAAATATCAAGGTCCTTGTCTTCAAACAGCTTTCACTTAAATAGAAGAGCAAGACATGTGCATCTATTTCTAGATGAGGTGGAATATATCAAGTCCTTGCTACTTGGAATTCCTGTATTATAGCCCACTTGGGTCTCTCTGATTTCAAGTCCTGACCAGACATGCCAGCAGCAGATGGAACCCCAATAGTTATTGCAGTAATGCCTGCTTCCTCCAGGAAGCCATTCCCACATCAGGTTAAGAAGGTTTGATTCCTACCAGACTGGGTTTGACTCCTTCCTTCTCCCTCCTATGCTGTATACTTTGTAACTGTGAAGATAGTTGATTGAATTATCTATCTAATATTTGGGGATATCATGGCTCTTGTGACCCAATTTTCTGAAATACGATTATACAAATACAATTAGATTTTTCTTAGTGATCCTTTATTGAATGGAGGAGGAAACCTAGTCACAGTTTACCGAAGACTATTTCTATCTAGAGGAGCTAATTAGACAGGATTGGCATCAGCAGGGATTTCTTAGAATCCATCTCAGGCAGACCACAGGCATTCTTAGCCATGATGCTTCCCTATCCCAGGCTATCCTATAGGCTATAGCACCACCACCTCACAGAGTGTCACTTTGCTCCTAGGTGAGCCTTATTTTTTTTCTTTTGAAATGAGGTCTCACTGTGTTGCCCAGGCTTGTCTCTAACTCCTGGGCTCAAGTGATCCTCCTACCCTAGCCTCACACATAGCTGGGATTATAGGCATCAGCCACTGAGCCCAGGTCAGTGGCCATTTTAACCACCATGTCTTACCTTGTGTTTTGGGGAAATTTGAGAATTTTCTAAGGTTTCCAGACATATCTCTTAAAATTCAGTTTTATGTCCAAGCACATTTCTCAGTAGGTTCTAGAGCTCTGATCCTTTAATTTTCTGATTCCATGTTGACAACTCAGATTTTTATTTTACCTGTGAAAAACTGAAGTTCAGTTCAGTAATTTGCCTAAAGGTCACATACTTGGTTGATTGAAACACCCTATGACTCACAAAGGTAGATCTTACATATGAACTGGAATCCATTAGGGACAGTTGATGACAAGAATGACTACATTTTTCTGAGCTCTGTGTTTGTGAAAACATACATCTCTTTTTAGATTTTTCATTTTATAAGTGTCCTGTTAAGGTAATTCCCTTGAGCATATATTCCCTGTTTTATGGTAGTATTGGTTCTTTATTTTTTGAGATGGGGTCTCACTCTGTCACCCAGGTTGGAGTGCGGTGGCAGTGACCTTGGCTGTCTGCAACCTCCACCTCCCAGGCTCAAGGGATCCTCCCACCTCAGCCTCCCAAGTAGCTGGGACCACAGACGCTGCCACCACACCCAGTTAATGTTTTATTTTTGGTAGAGACAAGAATCTTGCCATGTTGCCCAGGCTTGTCTCAAATTCCTAAGCTCAGGTGATCCACCCATCTCGGCCTCCTAAAGTGCTGGGATTGCAAGCAGGAACCACTGCGCTGGACTTATGATAGTATCCGTTCTATAAAAGGCAGATTTCTAAGTTGCATTGAGTTATTCACATAAACAAAACCTAAACCTGGCCAATGGAATCTCAGGGACAATCGCAGTGGCATCACATGTCTCTTCTATAAAAGGCTGGAGAGACCCAGAGGGGAAGTTTCTCCAGGAATCAGGACAAAATTAAATGCTGTGCATCACCCACATAGGGATGGAAAGCAGATAACCCCTTTCCTTCCCATCATAAGGATCACTTCCGACATCTAAAGACCAGTTAATAAGAGAAAAGCATAACAAATGTGTTTAATCATAGTTTTATGTTACTGGGGATCCTTGAGAACAAAGACCCAAAGATACAGGGAAAACAATCCATTTTTATGCTTAGGTTTAGAGAATGAACAGCTGTGTAGAACTGTGATTGGACACACACACATAGAGGTATGATCGAATGCTATTAGACGGAGTAGGGAAAGCCAGCAAGGCCCGTCTGTCTAGATTCTTCTTGGCCTCTCTGAGCAGCATTCCTTCCTTCTGGGTATGGGGCAGGACCCTTTCTGGAATTGGGGTCTTATGACCTATAATCAGACAAGGTAGGGAATTTCTTAATGGCCAGCTCTTACACAGAGAGGTGGGCTAAGGTTAAAATCATATTTTTAGGTTTTATGGCTGGCTTTGGGGAAAATGGATTCAGATTTCTATTACCTACTTGGGGAAGAAGAATTCTTAGTTGCTATGGCTTGCCATGGGACAGGGGTTTGTGGTGGGAGAGAAGGAGGAGTGAGAGACAAGAGGTCAGGGGGAGGGCAGAGGGAAGCTTTGCTTTTGAGTCTGCTTCTGATGTCTTCACTCTTGGATATCATTTTCTGAGCCCCAACACCCAGTTACTCTGATAGATAGGAAAGAATCCAAAAAAAAAAAAAAAAAAAAAAGAACCGGGTATGGTGGCTCACGCCTGTAATCCCAGCACTCCAGCAGTTTTGGGAGGCTGAGGTGGGCAGATCACTTGAGCTCAGGAGTTCGGGACCAGTTCTCTATAGAGAACCCCAGTCTCTATAAAAAATACAAAAATTAACTGAGCATGGTGGCGTGTGCCTGTAGCCCCAGCTACTCTGGAGGCTAATGTGGGAGGATCGTTTGAGCCTGGAAGGTGGAGGCTGCAGTGAGCCAAGACTGAGCCATTGCACCACTGTACCCCAGCCAGGGTGAGAGAGCCAGACCCTGTCTCAAAAACAAAACAAAACAGAAAGAAAAAATCACATCTGGTGAACTTTACAAAATTGAGATATTATCCTTAAGAAGCAACAAAATGCTGTTGATGTGGAACAGTTAAGACTAAGCTAGATTATGAACTCCACTTTCTGGCTTCTATGAATGTCCTTCCACTTCTTGGGTCCCTCCCCTTCCTGTGTTTCTTTGGCTGTCAAAATACTACCAATTTTTTAGGACCAACCCTTGCTCATGAGTTTCTTGATCCCTCTGGTTGGAATTAACATCTCTCTCTTCAGCAATCTCATGGCACTTTGATTAAGTGTCTTTTATAGCTCTTATATTCTAGCCAAGCACATAATAATGTTCATGTTTCATTTCCTCTGCTCTAGAGTAAGTCACCTGAGGACAGTGATTGTGACATTCCTCCTTTGTGTCCTCAGAAGGCCTAGCACTGTGCCAAGGACGTATTCCATGTGCTCCATATGTTGATGCAGTGAAATGAAATGGCATCACATTTGAATGGATAGGGCCAGAGCTGGGACAAAGCCTGAAAAACATTGTCTATTGACATAAAATAAACCAAAGGAATGTAGAGAATTTTTTAAACATCAGAGTTAAGATGGGGGACATGTACTTTTCAAACTTAGAAATATTTTTCTTTTTTGTTCATGTATATTTTGTATGACATGATTAATATATATTACCAAAAATGAGTATATTTGTGTTTTTAAGAAAGTATCTTTTCTTGTGAAAACAGTACAATGACTATGAAATATCAGTTTTCTCCTTTTCTTTGCTTATACCATCCTGAATAACACAGAGGTCACATTCCTGATTTGTTTTAGAAAGTTGGCTTTTTAAAAAAATTATCAAAAGATGCTATATTTTAGCTGAGCTCAGTGGTTCATGCCTGTTAATCCCAGCACTTTGGGAGGCCTAGGCAGGTGGATCACCTGAGGTCAAGAGTTCGAGACCAGCCTGGCCAACATGGTGAAACCCTGTCTCTACTAAAAATACAAAAATTAGCCAGGTGTGGTGGCGGGCATCTGTAATCTTAGCTACTTGGGAGGCTGAGGCAGGTGAATCGCTTGAACCCGGGAGGCAGAAGTTGCAGTGAGCCAAGATTGTACCACTGCACTCCAGCCTGGGTGACAGAGCAAGACTATGTCTCAAAAAAAAAAAAAAATTCTGTTTTTTTTAGAATTTCATGTATAGGCTTAATAGTGCATTTACCACCCCCTCCCTTTTTAAAGAGATCCTCCTTGTTTAGTGGGGGAGTAGAGGTTTTGAACACATGGAAATACTAGCAAATTTTGTAAGTAGACAAGACTGAGGCCAGCTCAACCTAGGGTTTGAAAAAGATTAAAGAGACTAAGGCAGCCTATGACAAACTGTCAGCCTGTGCACCCTGGATAAATGCCTGGCAGAATGTAGTGAATACCTCTCCACAGTAGACGCTTTGAATAGGCACATGATTCTAGTGTAGGGTGACATTTTGTGTAGTAGAATATATACTGTGCTTGTTTTAATAGAGTTTGCACAGACACTTGAAATCTATTGATATTCTAGATAGTGTATGTATGTGTCATAAAGAACCAATACTCAGGAGGAATGGACAAAGGAAATAATATTTGTTGAGTATTGCCATGTACTAGGCAATCAGCCTTTAAATAATAATAGTAGTAAAAATGGTAACAGTTATTATTCTGAATGAGTGCTTATTCTGTCCATGCACTGAGCCATTCAATCCTTTTGGCAAATCTTACTACGTATTCTCTCCATGTTACAGATGAGTCAAGAAGCTCTAAGATTATAAGTAACCTGCTTAAGGTCACACAGCCAGTCAGTGCCAGAGCCAGGCTTCAACCTGGTCTAGCCAGGGATTGCTTGGTTGTATGGTCAGATCTTATCTAAGTCTTGTTCAAAGAAAAAAATTTTTTTGAATATTTTTATTTTAGAACAGTTTTAGATTTTGAGAAACATTGTAAAGATAGTACAGAGAGCACCCATATACCCAACACCCAGTGTTGGCCATTGTTAACTTATTAAATTACTATAGCTTATTTTTATAATTAATAAACTAATATTCATACATTCTTAAGGTCCATAGTCTGATCAGATTTCCTTGGTTTTTATCTAATGTCCTTTTTCCATCCAGGATCCTAGCCAAAGATACCACGTTGAACTTAGTCATCATGTCTTCTTGGGCCTCTCTTGTTGTGATAGTGTCTCAGATTTTCCTTGTTTTTGATGACCTTGAAAGTGTTGAGGAGTACTGGTCAAATGTTTTGTGGAATGTCCCTCAGTTGAGGTTTGTCTGATGTTTTCCTTATAATTGGCCTGGGGTTCTATGTTTTTGGGAGGAGGACCACAGAGGTAAAGTACCACTGTCATCACATCATATCCAAGTTACCTACCTACTATAAACACGACTTATCACTGTTGATGTTGACGTTGGTCACCTGGCTGAGGTAGGGTTTGTTAGGTTTTTCACTATAAAGTTACCTGAAAAAAAATTTTTGTTGTT